>NC_000003.12:165978301-166129816 GCF_000001405.40 Homo sapiens
TCCTGCATTTCATTTCAAAAGGTGAAATAAACTATGAAATTGCAGTTTTCTTCAATGACATTCACAAAAAAGAAAGCAACTATATGTACTTTGGAGAGACTGAAGAATCAGGGGTTCATAACCCAACCTAGGTGCTGCCAGATATGCCCAAACCAATTTTTAAGCTATCACTGCACTAGTAAGCATATCAATACTTCTTACAGAATGAAAGAAAAATAAAAAATTGAGTCTTTTCAGTTTAGTAAGGTATAGTGATTTCTTATATATAACTCTGCTTTTCTCTGTTTGCATAGGGTCAAGAACATGAAATAACACTTAGTAGCCAGGATCTACCCTGTGGAAAGAGTGTCAGGAGAAATTTTAGTAAAGTATTAATCACAGGTTTCTACATAAGAGCAGAAAGGATGCATAATAAAGAAGCATGAATTGTATTTCAGAAATAGTGTAGAACTATGAATTTTGGCCTGAAGATTTAGATGATCTTTATCCCCTGAGAATTTGTGGAGTGCTTTTTATTGATGAGACAGAATTGAAAGTGTTCATTAACTTGTGCAACACTGAAAATAGTACATGAATGGGGGAAGTGAGCACAATGTATCACTCTGGATAGTAATGAAAGTTAATATATGGCTTTGTGACACTGACTTACCAAGAATATCAAGTATCATTTCATTACAAATTTAAACTCTTCCTGCATTTCTCAATGGATCATATTCAATGACAAATGATCAATTCAGGTTACTATGGAGATTCCAGATTCTAGATTACATGAAAATCTGAAACTATCCATGCTCTATAACTGAACTATAAGGGGTTACTTGTAAATAAAAGTTGCATAATTAGGTATCTGATTTTCTTAGCACTTGCATTTTGGATATTTAAACTTGTGTAGCAATAAATAGAAGAGCAAAGAGATGATAGGTACATCTTTTTTTTTTTTTTTTTTTTTTGAAAGGGAGTCTCCCTCTGTAGCCCAGGCTGAAGTGCAGTGGTGCGATCTCGGCTCACTGCCACCTCCGCCTTTCGGGTTTGAGCAATTCTCCCGTCTCAGCCTCCTGAGTACACAGGACTAGAGGCACATGCTACCACACCCGGCTAATTTTTTGTATTTTGTATTTTTTTTTTTTTGAGACAGAGTTTCAAAACTAAAGTTTTGAGGCTTTAGTGCAATGGCAGGATCTTGGCACACTGCAACCTCTGCCTCCTGGGTTCAAGCAATTCTCCTGCTTCAGCCTCCCAATTAGGTGGGATTACAGGCACCTGCCACCATTCCCAGGTAATTTTTTGTATTTTTAGTAAAGATGGGTTTTCATTATGTTGGCCAGGCAGGTCTCGAACTCCTGACCTCAGGTGATCCACCCACCTCGGCCTCCCAAAGTGCTGGGATTACAGGCGTGAGCCACTGTGCCTGACTGCCCTAGATGCATTTTTAGAATAATTTTAAGTTATTTGTCATAACTAAAATATTGAATATGTAGATTATATAGAAATTGATAACAATTACTTACAACTAAATTTCATTGTGAAAAAAACATCTATTTCCAGACAATCCTGGCTTTCAGGACAATTGAGGTCAAATTAAAACCTAAGGTTGGCCAGGCGCGGTGGCTCACGCCTGTAATCCCAGCACTTTGGGAGGCCGAGGCGGGCGGATCACGAGGTCAGGAGATCGAGACCATCCCGGCTAAAATGGTGAAACCCCGTCTCTACTAAAAATACAAAAAATTAGCCGGGCGTAGTGGCGGGCGCCTGTAGTCCCAGCTACTTGGGAGGCTGAGGCGGGAGAATGGCGTGAACCCGGGAGGCGGAGCTTGCAGTGAGCCGAGATCCCGCCACTGCACTCCAGCCTGGGCGACAGAGCGAGACTCCGTCTCAAAAAAAAAAAAAAAAACCTAAGGTTGATGAAATACAGCTTTGTTGAAGATTTAATGAACTTACAGAGAAGTGTTTGTGAGAAGAAGAAAAAGGTTTATAAAGACAGTTATAAATGAATTTGTGGAAGCACCGATTCAATCATATCAAAGAAAAACTTTCCTTATATAATCTAAAGTAAAGAGATTCATCTTCTCTCTAGAATTACTAAGGGTGTATTAATGATCCACATAAAGGAATATCTAATAATTGGCCAAGTTTATGCACACTAACATATATTGCAAATAAGGTAATCAATTTATCATATTTCATTGCTTTTATCTATTATTTAAAAGAATGCTATAGTATATACTTGTTTTTTTAATGGTTAAGAACATATATTTCAAGACTTATTCATTATTTGATAATTATTTTGGCCCTTTGGGGAAGAATAATTCCTAGAATAGGAGAGTTAGCTGTTGAACATAGAGATTGGCCTGGCGCGGTGGCTCACGCCTGTAATTTCGGCACTTTGGGAGGCTGAGGCGGGTGGATCACCTGAGGTCTGGAGTTTGAGACCAGCCTGGCCAACGTGGTAAAACTCCATCTCTATTAAAAATACTAAAATCAGCCGGTCGTGGTGGCGTGTACCTGTAGTTTCGGCTACTCGGAGTGTGAGGCCCGAGAATCGCTTCAACCCAGGAGGCGGAGTTTACAGTGAGCCGAGATGGCTCCATTGCACGCCAGCCTAGGCGACAAGAGCGAAACTCCATCTCAAAAAATAAAAATAAAAAAAAGGTTAGTGATAAATTGTATTAATGAGGAGTTCCTTAATTGAATCAATTCAAAACATAAATATTATAATTGAAATAAATTATGTCTGTTATATGGATTCAGAGAAGGGTTACCACTGGATTCTCTTACTAATCTGGATGCCAACTGGTTGATAAGTGAGTTAATAAAAAGTTTTTCCATTTTCTTTCTCTAATAATTCATTTTGAAAAAAGGATTCACAAATACATAATTCAAGTCATTTCTGCCACACATCTTTATTATGTTTATTAAAAATTGATATTTGTAAATATATGCATATAAAACATATATAGTCTAGTTTGTGCTATTACATTTAGATAATCAAGATAACCTCTTAAGCCATATGTGTTCATTTATTTAACTTTTCTGTTAATGTGTTTTCTCAGTCATAATTATGTATGTGTACACATTTACATTTATAGCTCAAAAAGTGGCATAGATTAAATTGACATAAATAGTCATTGCCTTCAGCTCATGGAAATATAACAAGAATTCTATCTGGGCTGACAGTCTGTTCCATAGCCAAATTGGGTATCATGTCAAATGTTTATCTTCTCATTTTAAATTGAGAGCTAGTGTTCTCTTTTTTCTAAAACAGAATACATGCTAAAATCCACCTCAGCCTCCTCACATCAAGGATCATTTTCTCTTTGCATGACAACCTTATAATGTGGGGAGATGTCCCAAAGGAGATGAAAGATTGAAAGACGGGAAATGATGCTCCAAGAAAATTTGATTTAGAATATATATAGTGAAAATAGAAGAGTGTAGAAAGTAGTTTGGAACTGAGAAATAGAGAAGAGTTTTAATTATTCTAGAAAATAAAAGGGAAATGTATTTATAGAAGATGCAGGATTTAAGCAAATTAAATATGCACAGATAAAATTCACTTTCAGATTTTATTAGGGAATCAGAGGATGAGGTGCTAGAACAACAATAACAAATACATAGATATCTATTATACTCATTTTACTGAAATAAGTAGAAAATAGGTGTGACCTACTGAAAAGAGCTAGTATGTGAAAATCATTCATGTGGATTATCATCCTAGTTTTATGATTCCTAGATATACATTTGAACAGTTTATTTTGGCAGTGCTGGTAGTGGTACTCATTGAACACTCGATACTTTCTAGGACAAAAGTACATGTTTTCTATAAACTCAAAAGTTCTTTCAGCTCTCAAATTTTAAAAAAGGTAAATGGAAACATGCAACATAAAGGGACAAGAAAAGTGACTATGGTTTTTGTAAGTATTTATTGAAGACTATTGAGAGAATGAAAATCTACAAATAATGCTCATCATCATTGGCCATTAGAGAAATGCAAATCAAAACCATAATGAGATACCATCTCACACCAGTTAGAATGGCGATCATTAGGAAACAACAGGTGCTGGAGAGGATGTGGAGAAATAGGAACACTTTTACACTGTTGGTGGGACTGTAAACTGGTTCAACCATTGTGGAAGACAGTGTGGTGATTCCTCAGGGATCTAGAACTAGAAATACCATTCGACCCAGCCATCCCATTACTGGGTATATACCCAAAGGATTATAAATCATGCTGCTATAAAGACACATGCACACGTATGTTTATTGCGGCACTATTCACAATAGCAAAGACCCGGAACCAACCCAAATGTCCAACAATGATAGACTGGATTAAGAAAATGTGGCACATATACACCATGGTATACTATGTAGCCATAGAAAATGATGAGTTCATGTCCTTTGTAGGGATATGGATGAAACTGGAAACCATCATTCTCAGCAAAGTATCGCAAGGTCAAAAAACCAAACACTACATGTTCTCACTCATAGGTGGGAATTGAACAATGAGAACACTTGGACACAGGAAGGGGAACATCACACACTGGGGCCTGTTGTGGGGTGGAGGGAGAGGGGAGGGATGGCATTAGGAGATATACCTAATGTAAATGACGAGTTAATGGGTGCAGCACACCAACATGGCACGTGTATACATATGTGACAAACCTGCACGTTGTGCACATGTACCCTAGAACTTAAAGTATAATAATAAAAAAAATATATATAAAGATTAGTAGAATTTAATGATGAGATGCCAACAGGCTGTTATCTAAATAAATAGGTCAAGTACATAAATGAAATCGCATCTCTGGTGAATTTAAATGGACTAACACTCTCATTCTAAATAAAATTTCTGTATCATTTTTAAACTCTGAGTTCTAAATTATCTAGATTGGAAATTCACTTCCCATATTGAATAATCAATTGCTGAGTTTTTGCTTTTCACCAGTGTGCTTATTAAACTAAATACTCATGCAAAGACTTGAGTAAGTAAATATAATGCATATCCTGGGGATTTGAATTTTAAAAGAGCCACATTTTTATACTGAATCAGGTATCAATAAATTGTGGAGTAGTACTCAAAACCTCAATGCATTTTTAAGATAAAACTTGTAATATAAAAAACACCTATTGTCTTATGTTCTCAAGCTCCCTGCAGTTTCAGTTTGAGAGACAGGATGTTGATTTAAGTGTTTGGAATGTGTCTGTTTAGGAAGGAAGAGTTTTTCGTGGCATAGCAGAATTCTTTTTACTGTTCCCTATTTAATAGTCAACAAATATTTATAGAGTACTCAAAACATCGAGTTATTCTTGCCTTTCTGGGCTAGTAGGAAAACACAATTTAAAGCTTTCTTACAATCAGTCAGAAGCATGTGGCTACTTCTGATCAATCAAATATAAAAGTGAAAAATGCCACTTTATGCTGAAGCTATGAAAATATCCTTCACAATTATCCAGGAGTCTATTCTTTACTTCAGGAATGGAGGAGCTCAAGAGTTTCTGTTGCTGTGGCTAAACGTCATCATGCAGAGCAGGGTACCACATTGATATGTATAGGACTGATGGAATAAATGAAAAATAAACTTTTGTTGTCTTGAACCACTACGATTTGGGGGGTTCAGATAAGGCACTATAACCTAACAGATGCAAATGCTATTATGTATGTGGCATAGTTCCAGGTCTTTGGAACTCATTGGATGACAAAAGGAAATACAGAGCCCTACCCTACTGAAATTTACTGTATACAGAATCACAACATTTGTGGTAAATATATTGGAAATAAGTAGTTAGCGAAGGGGAATGAAGAGGAGCATAAGTAAATAATACTTATGTTAGATAGAATAATGCCCTTACAAATATATGATGTGATAATCACTGAAAACTATAAATATTTTTCTTTACATATCTAAAGGGACATTACAGATGTGATTAAATTAGGGACTTTAGATGGAGAGTTTATCGTGGATTATCCAGGTGGGCTAAATGTAATAATGCTGGTCCTTATAAGAGGGATGCTGAGGAGTCAGACTCAGCTAGATGTGATAAAGGAAGCAGAGGTTGGAGTAATGCAAGCACAGAAGCCAAAGAAATTGGTGGACTCTGGAAGCCAGAAAAGGTAAGAAAATATATTCATTCCCAAAGCATCGAGAAGAATGCAGCCTTGCCAACCTATTTTAGGCTTCTGATTTCCAGAAATTTAAGATAATACATTTGTGTTGTCTTAAGCCACTACATATGTGGTAATTTGTAATAGCAATAGAAAAGTAATGCAATGGTATATCTAAAAATAAATGTTACAAAACCAGGTAAACTCACCTTCTTGACAAACTTTGCAGTTTTCAAGAATGGATAATATCATTGACTGACCTTGCAGTTGATGTGATAAAAGCCTTGGACGTGTTGTAAGAAATACCAGTAGTTCTTTCTACTATTCAGCTACTTTACCCTTAACATATGCAGGAATGTTTCTTACAGCAAGGCCATCAAGCTCAGTCTACTTTGTCCTGTTGGTATTTGCTACCTCTCATTTATACCTCAACATTTTTCTCTTTCCTCCAACACCAAACTGAATTTGTACAAGATGGTTTTTCTGCAACTGTTTAATTCCATTGCAACTTTTAGACAGAAAAGGACCAATTTATGGGTTTTTCATTTTGAGAATAAGCAAATAAATAACAAAAGAGGTTACAAATTGTTCAAATTTCTTATAGCCTGAGTTACAGGTCTATTTTTAAGGGATCTCATTGGCATGGTAGCTAAAAGATAAATTAAGCTTTTGTCCTTATAAATGAACCCTTTCATTGATTTCTTAAGAAATTAAATTAGATTTTGTCTAAAATTAGGTTTTGATATGTACCTGAATTATAAAAAAGATCCTTAATAGGCCTGACATTTATGTTTTTTTATTCCTGCATATATTTTTGATAATGCTATTTGTGTTTGGATGTACATATGTACCAGGATTGACAGCAATCACAATTTGCCATGGAACTATTTACAGCTTGTTTTTGAAGATGCCGCGGGGTTTTTGGTTTAGTTTTTAAATTTATTTATTTTACAAGGTATGAAATGTTTAGGCCCCAAAGACTGACTATATGAACAATAAAAACGTAGAATCTTGTAACTTGTAACATCCTGAGAAACATTCAGCTCTAAATATGTAAAGAAGATTCAACAACCACAGCAATCTTACAGCCTTACCAGATGTCCTTTCAAAGGACTATTTGGAGGCTTTCTTTTATGCTTTCCCCTTTTTATTTTCTACTGCCTGAAATATCAGGGAAAGGGCAAGTGATTACTTCACATAGTTTTTCTTCTACATATGAAATATGCATGAGATCTGTTCTTACTGAAAGTTTACATTTGCTCAGCTGGTTTAACATCTTTTTGGGGTCTTAGCCTTAGTGGCTTCATTAGATCTCCTGGAAAGAGATTTACTTAGGAAATAGAAACTCAATTTAAATAATACATATGTCTTATAAAAGCCCTTTATAGAAAAAGTGCTCTTCTTTCTTAACTAACATTCAAATAAAAGTAAATTTTAACACTTTGACTGAAAATTGCCCTCTTCTCACAGAAAAGTCCTTTTATTGTAAACAAATATTAGAATTGTTTTCTCTTAATTCTATACAGTTAAATTACTTGAATCTTTCTCTTTTATACATTTATAGAAATCTTAGAAATTACCTTTTTATTCCACTTTTTGTTTAAAACATTAACAAAAATTTATGTTTAAATGTTATGAGTTTTATATTTATGTGTAGTATAATGGAATAAGGTAAAAATATCAATATTCTAACATGTTTAAATGTAATATCGTTAGTAAAGGACACATCATCTATGTCATATGCAAGATGCTACCTATTTCATAGTAATGTTGAAAATGGATAGACTTATAAAAATCTTACTTTTTATATAAAGTATGTTATTTTAATTTTAATTACAAATATTTTCATAGTAAACTCTCTTGCCTTGCAAACTAAAATTGTATACGTGTATTTAACCATTTGAAAGAGGAGTTAGTGAACTTTTTCTCTAAAGAACCAAACAGTAAATAATGTAGGCATGCAGGTCATAAGGTCTCTGTTGCAACTACTCTGGTCTCTTACAGCACAAAATTAGCCATAGAAAATAAGTAAATGATTGTGTGTGGCTGTGCTTCATTAAAAATGTATACACAAGAAAGAATATGGTTCTTGGACATAGTTTGCTAACTTCTAATTTAAAATCATGTCAAATATATACTTAGTATCTTCTAAAAATATTAATAAATTTCAAATAACCATATTTATGTTTAAGAGTAGATTGACAAAATGTAGTACGATGCCTCATAAAATATACAGGCTTCTGAGAATTTAAACAGCATGCTTCCACATAGCCTAATATTCAAAAATAAAATCTTAGATCGTGTATGTCAATATGATTTAACCATTTGTTCTAAAAAATTTTTCTCCAGGAATATTATGCTATAGGCCAATAAATTCACTCTTTGCATCAGAAAATTGCTCTATACCTATATATAGAGGTAAATATTCTCATGTAAGAACAATAGATTACTAACATAAACAGCTAACTAAACAAGTTTACTTATTAATATTCTATTTAAGAGCTTCACTCTGCTGTATTCCCCAATCTTAAATTATTATGTCACAAAATTTACCCAGTCCCAATCAGGGTACTGCCTAGAAAAACCTGCATTAGGCCACCTGAGTCCAGAATCTAAAACTTTCTAAATATCATTCCCTGATTTTTTTCATACTGAGATGCTTTAAGACTGTTTCTAATGCTCTCTCTTACTATGATAGGTCTAATAAATTTAGCTCTACTTTACCAACATGTTTTTTGGTGGCGTTTTGGGAATTAATAGTCAATACTTCCTGCATATGAAAAAAAACTCTTTCATTTAAACTCCACACTAAATTACTAAACTTGAGTTTATCTTTCTACTAAGAACCTCTAAAGTTTAAAAGATAATAAATAGGAGCTTTCCAGTACCTTTTTTCTTTCTTCTTAGTAAAAGAAAATTCTTTGGGAGACAAAGATGGGCGGATCACAAGGTCAAGACATCAAGACCATCCTGGCCGATATGGTGAAACTCCGTCTCTACTAAAAATACAAAAATTAGCTGGGCATGGTGGCACACACCTGTAGTCCCAGCTACTTGAGAGGCTAAGGCAGGAGAGTCGCTTGAACCCGGGAGGCGGAGGTTGCAGTGAGCCGAGATCGCACCACTGCACCCCAGCCTGGTGACAGAGTGAGACTCCATCTAAAAAAAAAATTAAAAAACAGAACAGAAAAAGAAAATGCAAAGCATCAGAGGGTATGGTGTCCTGGGATCTAAGATAATTTTTACTTTATTTTTAGTAGAAGGGAGAGGAAAATACGCAAATACTAATGATAGTTCCACAGTGACTGAGAACTGAATACTGGAATTTGCAACGTGTGATTTGATGACCTTAAGAACACTGGTTTTAAATAATTGGTGGGATAAAGCATTGGCTGGAATGAGTTTGAGAGAAAATGGTATGAAAGTATTTGGAGAAAGAATGTTAATACACTGTTAGGGCAAGTGGAATTTCCTTTTAGTGGCAGAAATGACATCATATTTATATGCCAATGGTAAGGTAAATTAAAAAAAGTCATGATATAGGACTGAGAGAGATATCCAGATTAAGAACTTCAATAAGATGAGGGACAATGAGATCCAGTGCAGAAATGAAGATATACGCCTCAGGTAGGAGTTCTATGAGTCCACTTACAGCAATAGGAGGAAAGATAGGTATCTTTATGGGTTTAGATATGTGCCATGGAGGAAATGTGCAAGGTTTTTTTTTTTTTTTGATTGCTTTTATTTTTTCAATGAAATGGGAAGTGGGTATATAAGCCAAGAGGGAAGAAGATGGAAGGAAGTGTTGGAAATTTGATGACAGTGGAGACAATGTAAGCAGTCTAAAACAGTAGAAGAATGAGTAGACCAAGAAAATAGACTGTAATTGCCGGGCAGGTGTGTGAACATGAATTTAATGTGACATTAGTTATCATATTAACCCAAACTCTAGTGAGGCACTTGGCACATAGGAAGTCATCATTAAAAATCTGATTAATAAATGAAAAAAAAGTTTGACTAGATATCAAATTGGTATCACAGAGATGATCTTTACATGTTATATTTCCTACTTACTCTTGTCATTCTAAGGCTCATTTTTGCTGCTAATCATGGAAAGAAAAATAACTATTCTATTATAGTTGTCCAGGAAGCAGAATCAGAGATCTCAGTAAAAGGCTGTTAATTGGGAAGTGTTTCTGAGGAAGCAGAATTGAGCCTGGGGCAATTGAATGAGGATGATTTCCAATGGAAGGTTCAATTGATTCTAAAAGGAGCTGAAATGTACCTTCAAAGTTGTGGCAACTGGGACAAGGTCAGTGGAACTTAATACCCCTTTATTAATCAGTCATTGGATATAGAATGCCCAGGAATGTGTGTAATCTTGTTCAAGGCTACACTCTTTGGCCTAGGATAATTTATGAAGAAAGACTTAGATATCAGATAAAGATACATGTTAGGAAACTTATCTTAGATAAATTTCACTTATTAGAGTCTCCACTGTCTTTTATTCACAACACTTTGTAATATAATTTCCTCTTATTCTACAATGGTGACACTTAATACAAAACTTTAAATATATATTCAATCTAGGGTCTAAAGTATAAGAAAAAATAACAGTAGCTATCAAGTTAGATAAGAATGATAAGACGCTTACTCTATCTGTCCGACAGTTGAAAGCAAATAGTCCAAATTTCTGATTCTAGTTTTTCTAATTTTATTTCTTAAAATTATTATTAATAATAATATCTAGTTGTGGTCTGCTAACTTGATTTCACAACCCCCTAATGGATTTCATTTGCCATTGGAAAAATAATGACTACAAATGACAGAAAGAGCACACTGACTCTATTCATTTACTAAGAATTTGAGAATTTTTCTGCGCACAGATTTTGTCCATAAGTAAAGTGATCATATAAAATATCCTCCAATTTCAGATCTTTTTACTGTAAACAAGCACAAACCAGGACTGTTCCACAATCTGTAATGAAATTCTTCCTTCACTAAGCAAAGTCAAGAGTCAAAGCAGAGGAAGTCACAAGTAGGGTCACAGCAGTTGTTTATCCTTCTCCCTTGCTTTTATGTTTTCTTTCTTGTGTTCAAAGTAATAAGATGATAGAGAGTTTAAGGATACTTGACATTTAGTAGATGCCACTAACCTATGCCTTCTACTAGCTCAGATAAAAAGAGGGAAAAACATTGATTTTAACATAAATAGTTCAAATCAAGCCTGAAACAAAAAGTGTCAACCAAATCTAAACTGGAGAAAGCCACACTTTTCACTAAAATAATGTGCAAAGAAGCACTATGTCACTGGGTTATGGTGCTTTAGACAAAGATATATACATATACATATATATATATGACATATATATACGCATGTATATGTCACATATATACACACATACACATATATACATACACATGTGCACACATACATAGTTTCAGTGGACTATCATATATACATATGTATATATATATACGTGATATATGATTCCAGCTTTTCTAATTCTGTTTTTTAATTACATATATGTATGATGTCCCATTGAAACTGAAGAATTTGCAAGTCACATAGAAACTGTCTTCATGAATAATTATGTAACAAAAAAGTGACCAAGCAATTTAATTTTATCTTATTTCTCAAGCTTCTGGTTTGACTGTTATTCATTTTCCTAATTCCTTATATAAATCTTCCATACTTATTTATTATTTTGTTAATATAAAGTAGGTTTAAACTTTTTATATATATTTATTTTTATTATACTTTAAGTTGTAGGGTACATGTTCACAACGTGCAGGTTTGTTAAATACGTATACATGTGCCATGTTGGTTTGCTGCACCCATTAACTCGTCATTTACATTAGGTATATCTCCTAATGCTATCCCTCCCCCCTCCCCCCACCCCATGACGCATCCCGGTATGTGATGTTCCCCTTCCTGTGTCCAAGTGTTCTCATTGTTCAATTCCCACCTATGAATTTTAAGCCACTTTATTTGGTTATTAAACATTTCACAGGCATTAGTTTGAACACAGTAGGGTACATCATCATCCTCTCTCCCACAAGACCATTTAACTTTGTGTTTCTACCTAAATGTTTTCAAAAAGTACTAAAATCTTTAATATCGGACTTTTCTAATTTGAATGTAATTTAAATGGAACTTAAAGCGAAAAAAAAATCTATTTGGTGGAAAATAATCAAAACCAAAACCAAACATATATGTTAGGAAACGGTATAACTACTCATCAAATAGGCAATTTAGACCTTTAAATTCAGCACTTTTAGTCAAAATAAGGAAGAGAGCTGTAGAATGAGTTTCAGAAGAATGTTCTGGAAGAATTAGAGTTTTAAAAACTAAAGCACCTCATATATAACATGAAGTAGTAAATAAAATGAGCATTCAGTCACGCCACTGCTTTTCTTTACTGTGAAAGCAAAGATTTTCAGGTGTCTTTCATATTTGATGACACCAGATAGAGCTATGAATTTATTACACATACCTCATGGTTACAACTATTTAAACGTTTTCTTTAAACAACAGTAAAGAAAACTGGTGAATTATATCACTTCTATAATGGGGTAAAGTTTTACCATATATGTATGTATTTACACTACACATTAGCATATAAACACTTCCAAAAATATTCCCACTTACAGCTTTTTTGCATAAGAAATAAAGACGATTTAGTAATTCATTGTGCGTACCTTAAACATTTTAAAACTTAGTATGCTCAAGTTCACAATTAAACATTTCTGATTCATTTCTATTCTCATGGTGTAAATTATCATCCTGAGAGATGTAATGTCTGTCACTTTACTCTGCACAGTGGCTACTCTTTTAATAATCAAAAAGTATTGAATAATGTGATTTTTTTGTAGAACAAGATAATCTATTGGAGGAAAATAATAAATATCTGAGGGGTAAGGATTACAGAAAATTACGTACCTTATTTTGCAGTACCTATTATAAAATAGAGTAGAATTGAATAAGTTTTTCTCTCATACTTTTTCAGATACAATGGATCCTAGAAATAGGGACTTGTCTTCATTTTGTATAAAATGGTGCAATAACTTTGCATTACGAATCTCTACCATAAATAATTTTTAAAAATCAGTGTGCCTTTCAGAATTTATTCCTAATTTCCTCTTAAATAAATGTTAGTGCTTAAGGAAATTTAAAAGCAAATTATTAAATATTAAAACACCCAAATTAAGGCAGTTCCCCTAAATTTTGGAGAGGAAACTGTAAGTAAATCAAGACATAAAACTAATATTAAAGCTTTAACAATCAGTGTAATGACTTTAGAGAATTTAGGAGTCTTTCCATTTTTATACAAAGCTCCTTTTATTAAAATAAAAATATAAAGCAAAATTTTTACTGCTGCTTTTGTAATAGAATGATTGCTTTAAAATGCCGGCCAAACATTAATTTGGAGAGGAAAAAAAAGTAATACTGAGTCACAGGTAATTTAGCTTATAAAGTCTTTCTTTCTACTATAGTTCAATAATGATACATTTTCACTTTAAAAACGTGCCATAAAACTTTATAACAGGAAAAATTTAGTAACTCCTCTTTCTAATAAAACAGATTTTTAAAATATCCTGAGCCTAATAAAAAGCTATACTCTAATAATTCTTTAGGAAAAAAAGTGTTTATATCAACATTTATTCAGCTTAAATACAAAAAGCCTAGGTATCCATCAGTACCCATATACTTAAACTAGTATTTTATTACATATTATGAAAGTATATTTTTATACATATGAAAACAATAATTAAAATATTATGGTTTAAAACATACACTGAGACCTATTTCAAAACTTATGAAATTGGCATCATAGGTGAACAAGGGTACCGGAACATTTATATTTTTACTTTTGTATTCATATACCTACCTTTAAAATGTGATGTCTTCTTGTCCTAATTTTTAGCCAGTTACATTAAATCAAACAGAGAAGATATTAAGATGAAAATTATAAGATTTTTCTTAACCATTAAAAAGCAATAGTTTTGTCTCTTGAGGCTTTTAAAAATTACCCCCAGAAAAATGATCATCTTAGCAATGGCAATTATTTTCTAAGATAACACAGAAATTTCAGATATGTCCCTGTGAGATTTATAATTTGAATTAGTTTGTATATTGCTAATATCATTTATAAATCTTTATTATTTGCAAAAAAATTTTCAGAATAGTTCATTGCTAGCTTAACCTGTGATAAAAATCAGATGACTAAGAAGTATTGAAGATTCACTGTCTTTATCTTAATTCTGAATGATGTAAATATCATTCCCATAGATAGAAATATTTTTTATTCACATCCTTTTTATATTTTTAGTAAGTATAGGCCATTTATTTTTAATAAATAACAGCCTGTGGGACTGAAGTTTCCATGGAAGTTGAAGAAATTTGTAGGCCAGAACAATTGCAGTTGACAAATTCTCCCACCGGGAACAATTAGAAAAGTTGTATCTAAATCCCAAATCACTCATTTAAAGGTATTAAAGTCCTACTGGAAGAAGGAGAACAAATGAGTCTAAAATTTTTTTAAAGCAGAGATAGAAGCTGACAATTTTAAGCTATTTTCTCACTGGGACATTTGCAGATACTTATAATAGGCTAGAATCAGAATAGTGGCTATACTTAGGCCTAAGCCCAAAAAACTATAAATGGATTATGGATCTAAATGTAAAGTTAAATAATCTTCTAGAAAAAAACTAGCTAAATAGCTTCATAATCTTGGATTAGGCAACACTTTCTCAACAAATTCCCAAACAATAATAAGACAAAAGGAAAAATAAATAAATAATAATAATATATAATAACTTGAAATTTATATTTCATAAAATATAAACATATTTCGATTTCACAAGATGAAATTTAGAAAAGCAAACAACGGGGTGAGTAGAGTTTTTTTGTATTACAAAAAAAATCCATTGTATAAATAAGAGAAAAGAAGACATCTACTATAACATTGCAAAACACATGTGAAATATGCTAAACTTTATATAAACCAACCAGAATGTCTGAAGCAAAAAAAACAAAGCAAAACAATACAAATGAACGAACAATACATCTTGGCAAGGATAGGAAGCAGCCAGAATCCTGATGCACTCCTGATGAGAGTGTAAATTGTTAAAATCCCTCTTGAAAATTGTTTGGTAGCATTTACTAAAACTGAATACACACATTCCCTCTTATCTAGCAATTGAATTTTTATGCCTATACCTACGCAAAATCCATACAAATATGTACCAAAAATTATAAATAATTATTTCCATAATAGCACTTGCAAAACATTGGAAAGAACTCAACTGTTCATGAGCAACAGGATATATTGTGGTATATTCACAAAATACAACACAAGAAACAATACAAATTAAACTACCACCAACACATCACAGAGATAATGTTGAGAAAAACAACAGCAACAACAGCAAAACCAACAAAAACAACAAATCAATAAGGCAGCAGCCATGCAAATTACATCAATATGCTTCTATTTATTTCTACTTATTTACATATAGAAGTAGATGTATTTAATTGATATGTTAGAAGTAAGGATCATGGTTATCCTTAGAGGAGATACGATGGAAAGGGTTACAAGGGATTTTCTGGGAGTGCTAGTAATGTCCTATTTCTTGATCTGGACAACAGTTACAATGTGTGTGCATACTTTATGAAACTTTATTAAGCTGTGTACGTGTGATTTTGGCATCTTTTGGTGTGTATGTTATACTTCAAAAGGATTTACAAGAAATAACTACTTTTAGCATGTGTTTATTTCTTGCAAATAAACACACAGACACAGAAACACACACACACTACATCTAACAATATATAGCCTGTAGATAGCATTCTTAATAATTTTAAATAGTCGCAGATGATGTACTGAGGAAATGCTGAACACCCCCTCCCAGAAAGAATGCTCATGCTTCTTTTATCACTTCAGCAAGTGAAAAATTTTATTTGGTATGATAACAGGCGATGCAGATATAAAAGTGAAAGGAAAGTGAAAATGTTGACACTCAAAGTTTCTACTGTGTTACATGGACAAAAGTTCATTTGGAATACAGATATTTATCTAACTTGGTGGTTATCTAAGTGTGTCCCCAGGCCAGCAGCTTCAGCATAAGTGTACTACTCCCAGACCTACTGAAACCTGAAAACTAAGCTCTGGGTGTGGATCCCAAGCATCTGTGTTTTAACAAGTAATTTTGAGGCATGCTTACTGACTTTTAAGATCCACTGATATGAAATAAAATGACAGGGACACTGCTTGTCTTTTTCCTTTTCCTTTTTTTTTTTTTTTTCCATTTAACACATACTCAGGCACATTGTTGGTGATCAGTGAATAGTCATTGAATGAATAATGTTTGTATTAAATGGTGCATAATTGTTGAATTGCATTTAGTTAGTTGTATCCTACATGGAGAAATGGGACTCATACAATTTGAATAATTTTCATGCTTTAAAATTTTACTTTGATAATCATGCACCTACATGAGTGAAGGAATGGAAAGAGAAAAAATCTAATTTTGGGGGGCATTTGAACAGCACATTCTCATAGAGATCCTGATGCAATTCCTGACATTTGTAAAAGAACTCCTGATGGGACTTACAAATCATGGATCATTGATTTGGACACGGATAAAATAAAAGTGAAAAAAAATCCACTCAAACTCTGACTTGTGAGGGAGTAAATATGTATTAAGAAATAAACTTTAAAAACCATTCTATTATAATGAAAGGTTAAAAATGTCACAAAATATAGAATATCTTACAACCATCAATTAAAGTAAAATACCTAAGGTTATAGCAGAGAACCAAGCTAGTACAATCAGTGAGAAGTGATCAGTTTACATACATAACGATGCCTAGCACT
Organism: Homo sapiens; assembly: GCF_000001405.40. Lineage (NCBI taxonomy): Eukaryota > Metazoa > Chordata > Mammalia > Primates > Hominidae > Homo > Homo sapiens. Next base: position 165,995,282 of record NC_000003.12, read on the forward strand.
ATGCAGTTTTTAAATAACTTCAGATGTTGCATCAGTCTCACGGAAAAGAAGAACAAGCAAAGGTTAAATGATCATACTTCATGAATACAAGAAAGTTTCATGAGCACCAAGAAATGTTATCAATGAAATGTTTTTTATTGTGTTGTCTGGGTCCCAGATCATTAAGCAGCTATTTAGGTATAAACTTTGCAATTAAATACATCAGAATTAGTATGTGGCTGGAGAATCCCACTTAGTAGTTGGATGTTAATCATAATTTTGGTTCATTGTTATCAAATTACACATTTTTGTAAAAATATTTTAATTCTCTTTCACACACCCTGGATGATGATTTGTACTCAACACAAAATAAACGTCAACATATTTAATGACATTGGAGGGAAAGGAAAATATTTATTAAAGTAACTTTTCGTAATTCTATTTATTTAAACAAAGAAGACACCTATATTAGGTTGTGCTTACTTTTTCCTACCGATCACTTCACATGTTAGTTAATGTTATAGAAATGCAAAAAGATACCTATACAGAGAGATTTTAGTTTGTGTACCTGTATCATTTAATAAGTTCTCATTGCAAGATAAAACAAATACTATAGTTATTAATCAGTTGATTGGTCAGTTGGTCTATCTACCTATTTACAGTATCTATTCACAGTTTAGTAGTAAAAATGCAAAAGTTTAAACTCAAATCTTAAGGTTTTCTATGCTGAAATTATTTCCTATTTATTAATAAAGTAACGTTATGTTTCTATGTTTTTTTTCAAGTAAATTATACTTCAAATATTATCTCCATGATTTTTGTATTATGTAACTTCTGATTAGGTCCTGACTCTTTTGGGTAATCTATTAATAGCCTATACTTAAAATATTGTAAGAATTATCGGCATTAGCAACAAGTGTTAGGAGTTCAAGATTGTGTTTGAAGGATTAATTTGTATTATTTTAAAATGTGAAATAGCCTTAAATTCCATATTTTCATCCTCAGAGACCCTTTCTTGCATTATTAACAGAATATCCTAATCTGTTCTCCTCTTCTTTGTTGTAATAGAATTTGAGGTTTTTGCCTTGGAACCCAAAACTACTCTTTTAAGGGAGAGTATTCTAATAGTAGGATGATTTATACAAAGTTGCCATATTGTAGATCAAAACTTATTGAACATGATTATTTCCTATCGTTCAGCCTAATGATAAGCATGATAGTTATCAATTAAATTGATAGCAGTTTAACACATTTTTTAAAAACATGCAGTATGTGTCAAGAATTGTGTTAAATAGTAAGAATACAGTGTGTTTTTTTTTTTAAAGGAAAAGTATCTTCTATTAAGTAGAGGACATGGTTCTATAAACAAAGTTCTTATTCTAAAATATTTTACTTTTGTTTTTAATATTTTAATAACTCCATATGTGTTCAGAGCTAGCACAAAAGAAGAAAAGAATAATTTGTACTCAAATCAGAAAAGCCTGCATGAGGGGCATAGAAAAACAAATCTAATGTGACTGTGTGGTCCAGTCTCAGGTGTGATTCTCCACATGCCACTCTAACATGCCCAGAAATCTTTCACTGCCAATTATTGACATTGTTTTACAACATAATTTTTTATTTATCTTTCTACTGACACTTCTACCTCAAAATATACATACAAAAATGACTCCTTAAGCTTGATGTTCAATCTTTGCTTATTTTATTATCTTCCCATTACAACCAAAGTGCATCGGGGGTACTCTATATTATTTTTACTTTTACCATCTTCCAAATAAAATATTAAACATACAAAAATGAATATATAAAACCTATATATATATATTATAAACATGATGACGAATGTACAATTGTAAATTCATCTCATAACTCAAGAGCTAGAACTTCACTGATATTTTCTACAATGTGCTCCTTTCAAATCCTTCACCTTTGCCTCCCCTGCAGGTATAACCTCTATCTAGAATTATTAGTTGTCATTCTTTTGATTTTTAAAATTAGTTTTTATTGTAGTTATGTACTTCCTGAAATATTATATCGTTTAATTTTATTGTTTGGGGGTTAAAATTTTATTATATTTTGGATGATCTTCTAAAACTGGTTGTATTAGTCCCTTTTCATGATGCTAATAAAGACATACTTGAGACTGGGCAATTTAGGAAAAATACCATTAATTAGATTTTTACAGTTCCATGTGGCTGGCGAAGCCTCACAGTCATGGTGGAATATAAGGAGGAGCAAGTCCCGTCTTACACTGATGGCAGGAGGCAAAGACAGAATGAGGAAGACACAATAGTGGAAACCCCTGATAAAACCATTAGATCTCGTGAGACTTATTCACTACCATGAGAATAGTATGGGAGGAACTGCCACCATGATTCAATTATTTCCCACCGGGTCCCTCCCACAACACAAGAAAATTATGGGGGTACAGTTCAAGATGAGATTTGAGTGAGAACACAGCCAAACCATATCATTTCACCCCTGGCCCCTGCCAAATCTAATGTCCTCACATTTCAAAACCAATCATACCTTCCCAAAGTCCCCCAAAGAGGAACAAGGAGATCTAGTCAGAGTAAAAACTGAAGAAATTGGAGTCTGATGTCCAAGGGCAGGAAGGATCCAGCGCTGGAGAAAGATGTAGGCTTGGAGGCTAGGCCAGTCTCTCTTTTACATTTTTCTGCCTGCTTATATTCTAGCTGTGCTGGCAGCTGAGTAGATTGTGCCCGCCCAGATTAAGCATGGGTCTGCTTTTCCCAGTCCACTGACTCAAATGTTAATCTCCTTTGGCAACACCCTCACAGACACACCCAGGATCAATATTTTGTATCCTTCATTCCAATCAAGTTGACACTCAGTATTAAGCATCACAAGTTCACCCCTTGTCAACTTGAACCCATACACATCTCCTGAGGTCATAAATAATTTTCCAAAAAAGACAATACTAAAGTGAAAATTATGCCTAACATAATACAACTATTCTTCGTACAACTGGAAATGCACCAATCCCAACCCAAATACTATTACATAAAGTTAACAGTACTTAAATGCTGATATGAAGTCAATAAATCTGTGAATCATGATAAAGGAGAAAGAACATAAAATGAAGGTATTTTCTTATTTCAAGTGTATACATGCACAAACATATTTTTAACAAAAGAACAAGGGGCCGGGCATAGTGGCTCACACCTGTAATCCTAGAACTTTGGGAGCCCAATGCAAGTGGATTGCCTGAGCTTAGGAGTTCGAGACCAGCCTGGGCAACACGGTGAAACCCCATCTCTACTAAAATACAAAAAATTAGCTGGGCGTGGTGTCTTGTGCCTGTAGTCCCAGTTACTTGGGAGGCTGAGGCAGGAGAATTGCTTGAACATGGGAGGTGGAGGTTGCAGTGAGCCAAGGTCATGCCACTGCATTCCAGCCTGGGCAACAGAGTGAGGCTCTGTCTCCAGAAAAAAAAAAAAAAAAAAGGGAGGAAATAGTCATGACAATTACAGTCCTCATTTCTGCAGCTGGTCAAGTGGTCGTAGCTGGTATTGATGACTATCTTCTTCTACTACCCATTCTGTATTCCCTTTCCCTTTGGCAAGCATCTCAGCAGGTCGTGGTTTTTTCCCTGGTGGAGTGACCCAAACCTTCATTCCTGAAGGGGCTGAGTCATTTGTAGTCCTGCCTGGATTGGGGTGTTGTAGTTTTCCCATTGACCTTAATCATAGGGCTTGGTAATACTAAGAGATGCCTTAATGGATCTCCTGTATTCCGTGCATACTCTTCCCCACCTCCGTTGTGGAATAGTAGAGTGATTTCATCTTGATAGTCTGGGTCAATCACCTCAGCCAACACTGTGACTCCATTCTTAGCCTGTGGACTTAAAGCTAGGAGGAGCCCAAAGTATCCAGGTACCAATCTTAACTTCCAATTTAATGGAATCATTGTTGTGTTTCCTGGTAGCAGGGTTCCTCCCTCTGGAACTAATAACTCTAGGCCAGCAGAACATAATGTTGAGGGAGCAGGAAACAAAAATTTTGCTAGTGGATCACTAGGGATATTGGTGAGTGGTGACACTTCCACTTCCACCCCTTGATTCCTGGACCCGTGAATCCTGGCTATGGGAGAAACAGTACCATATATTGGCTGCTGATTCAGCCCATACATGGCCTTCTTTGCCCTAGTCCTGCAAAGTATTGTCACCTAGTTGGCATTGTAGTCGTGACTTCAAAAGGCCTTTCCACCATTCTATCAATCCAGCTGCTTCACGATTATGGCGAACATGGTAAGACCAGTGAATTCTCTGAGTCTGAGCCCACTGCCACACTTCTTTAGCCATAAAGTGAGTGCCTTGGTCAGAGACAATGTTGTTTGGAATACCATGAGAGTGGATAAGGCATTCCATGAGTTGATGGATGGTAGTCTTAGTAGAAGCTTTGCGTGCAGAATAGAAAACCCCATATATGGAATAAGTGTCTATTCCAGTGACGACAAACCTCTGCCCTTTCCATGATGGAAGAGGTCCAATATAATCAACCTGCCACCAGGTAGCTGGCTGATCCCCCTGAGGAAGGGTGCCATATGGAGTGCTCAGTATTGGTCTCTGCTGCTGGCAAATTGGGCACTCAGCAGTGGACATAGCCAGGTCATCTTTGCTGAGTGGAGGTCCTTGTTACTGAGTCCATGCAGAGCCTCCATCCCTGCCACCGTAGACACTTTGTTCATGGGCCCATTGGGTGATGTCAGGGAGTGGCTGGGGAAAGAGGCTGAACACTGTCCACAGAACCAGTCATCCCACCCACTTGATGACTCAAATTCTCTTCTGCTGGGGTCACCCTTTGGTGAGCACTCACATGGGACACAAATGTCTTGACAGTTTTTGACCACTCACAGAGTTCCAGCCACATACTTCTTCCCCAAATATTGTTGTCACAAATTTTTGAATCATGCTTCTTCCAAGTCACTGAAACCACTGGCTACAGCCAATGAATCAGTATGTAGTCACACACCTGGCCATTTCTCCTTCCATGCAAAATGCATGGCCAGGTGCACTGATTGAAGTTCTGCTCACTGGGGAGATTTCCCTTCACTGTTGTCCTTCAGGGGTGTCCTAAAAAGGGGCTATAGTGCTGCAACTGTCCACTTTTGGGTGGCACCTGCATATGGTGCAGAACCATTTGTAAACCAGGCCCTGGTCTTCTCTTCCTGTCAGTTGATCATAGAGAACTCCCCCTGAGGCCATCGGTGCAGGCTGGGGGAGAGAAGGCAGGGAGGCAGGAGTGGAGACCATGGGCATTGGAGCCACTTCTTCATAAAACTTACTTGTGCTTTCAGGACCTGCTTGAGCTCAATCACATGCATACCACTTCCATTTGATGATGGAATGCTACTGTGCATGACCCACTTTATGGTGAGATGGGCCATTTCGAAAGCACCCAGTTCATGATAGCCAGTTCAGGTCACATGGTGACTTGAAGACCCATAGTCAAAAGGTCAGTTTCCACCAAAGCCCACTAACAGGCCAAGAGCTGTCTCTCAAAAGGAGAGTAGTTATCTGCAGAAGATGGTAGGACCTTGCTCCAAAATCCTAGAGGCCTCCTCTGTGACTCACCTATCGGGGCCTGCCAAAGGCTCCAAACAGCAACCCCATCTGCCACTGACACCTCAAGCACCATTGGATCTGCTGGGTCATATGGCTCAAGTGGCAGAGCAGCTTGCACAGCAGCCTGGACCTGTTGCAGAGCCTTCTGTTCTAGAACCCACTAAAAACTGGCAGCCTTTCGGGTCACTCGGTAAATGGGCCAGAGTAACACACGCAAATGAGGAATGTGTTGCCTCCAAAACCCAAATAGGCCCAGTTGACATTGTGTCTCTTTCTTGGTTGTTGTGGGGTCAAATGCTGCCACTTATCATTTACCTTAGAAGGAATATCTTGACAGACCCCACACCACTGGAACTCTAAAAATTTTACTGAGGTAGAAGTTCCCTGAATTTTAGTCGGATTTATTTTGCATCCTCTAGCATGCAAATGTCTCACCAATAAGTCCAGTGAGTTTGCTACTTCTTGCTCACTGGATCCAATCAGCATCATGTCATCAATGTAATGGACCATTGTGATATCTTTTGGAAGAAAAAAGTGATGAAGTTTTCTCCAAATAAAATTATGACACAAAACTGGAGAGTTGATATACCTCTGAAGTAGGACAGGAAAGGTATATAGCTGGCCTTGCCAGCTGAAGGAAAATTGCTTCTGGTGGGCCTTATGGACAGGAATGGAGTAAAAGGCATTTGCCAAGTCAATGGCTGCATACTAGGTACCAGGAAATGTGTAAATTTGCTGTAGCGATGAAACCACAACTGGTACAGCAGCTGCAATTGGAGTCGCCACTTGGTTAGGCTTATGATAATCCACTGTCATTTTCTAAGATCTATCTGTCTTCTGCACAGGGCAAATGGGAGAGTTGAATGGGGATGTGGTAGGAATCACCACCCTTGCGTCTTTCAAGTCCTTGATGGTGGCACTAATATCTGCAGTCTCTCCAGCAATGCAATATTGTTTTTGATTTACTATTTTTCTGGGCAGAGGCAGCTCTAATGGCTTCCATTTGGCCTTTCTCATCATAGTAGCCCTCACCTTACCAGTCAGGGAGCCAATATGGAGGTTCTGCCAGCTGCCAAGTATGTCTATGCCAACTATGCATTCTGACACTGGGGAAATGACCACAGGATGAGTCCAGGGACCCACTGGACACATTGTAAGTTGGATCTATGCTAAAACTCCAATAATTACCTGACCTACATAAGTTTCCGCTTTAACTGGAGGACCGCAGTGACATTTTGGGTCCCCTGGAATCAACGGCAGCTCAAACCCAGTGTCCAGCAGTCCTGAAATGGCTGATAATTTCCCTTTCCCCAATACAGAGTTACCTCAGTGAAAGGCCAAAGGTCTCCTTGGGGAAGGATGGGAGAAAGGTTCACGACATAAATTGTTGGTAATGTAGTGGGGTCCTTCCTCAAGGGGACCTGGCCTCCCCTTAATTCAGGGGGTTCTGGGTCTGTAAGCTAGCTCACATCTGGAAATTGATTGAGAGGCTTTGATTCTGTTTTCATAATTCAAATTAGTGTTTTGTCCATTCAACCTAGAAGTTTTCTGCTTATATAAATAAGTAGGAACACAGTAGGCTTCCTATCAATTTCACTTCTAGGAAAACTGTGATTAATTAGCCAATGCCAGAGCTCTACAGGAGTCAGGCTATTCTGATTGCCGCTTTGCCTCTGCTGTCTATTACGGTAGCTATGCTCACCATGTCTTTAAAGGTTGAGTGCCACCACTTGGCCCCTGCTACTTTGGGATCCAATTATTCCCATTGTATTTAAATTAATTGAGTGACTGTGGTTCCCACTGTTAGATCTGACATACAGAGAAGGGCAATTACAGGGCTCTTCAAAGATGCAGGTGCTGCCCTCACAAGTCATTTTGCAAGGTATTGGTCAAGGGTATATTTTCTGGATCCTACCAGCTGGGATGAGTAGGTCTAAAGTGATTAATCCACTCCACCATCCCAATCTCCCTAATTAATTTATATATGGGAGTTTATTAAGTATTAACTCATATGATCACAAGGTCCCACAATAGGCTATCTGCAGGCTGAGGAGCAAGAAAAGCCAGTCTGAGTTCTAAAACTGAAGAACTTGGAGACCAATGTTCAAGGTCAGGAAGCCATCCAACATGGGAGAAATATGTAGGCTGGGAGGCTAGGCCAGTCTCACTTTTTACATTTTTCTGCCTGCTTATATTCTAGCCATGCTGGCATCTGATTAGATTGTGCCCACCTAGATTAAGGTGGGTCTGCCTTTCCCGGCTCACTGACTCAAATGTTAATCTCTTTTGGCAACCCCTTCCCAGAAACACCCAAGATTAATAGGTTATATCATTCAATCCAACCAAGTTGACACTCAGTATTAACCATCACACTGGTTATTTACTCACCATTTTGTATTTTAAATGAACCTCTGTTTTGTGAGCGACTGTTGTTTATTTGTGTTCACTGATCTATGGCCTTCCATTGTGTAAATATTTCAAAATTTCTTTGTTGATTTGATAAATAATTGGCATATTTTTGATCTTTATCTTTTTTAAAACAAATAATGCTGTCCTTAGGCATTCTTGTACATCTGTTCTGTTAGGATATGTACAAGAACTTCTCTGAGATGTATGCTTAGGAACAAAATTAATGCATCGTATTTAAGCCTTCAACTTTACTATCCAATTCAATTTGGGATCCAAAGTCATTATCAGTGCTATCCTTGAGAAACCGTGCCTTTGATGTCCCTAGAAGGCTTTATTAATGAAGTAAGACTGGGTCTCTCATTCCTTCTCTCTCTCTCTCTCTGTCTATCTCTTAATATTTAGATATGTCCTCATCTACCTATTTGAAAAATTATAGGGATTTTTAAATATAAGATAGAAAAATAGAGGTTTAGGTATGGGTATACATTTTGGTATTATTTATATGTTAGTGTTAGGAGAATACATTTGTTAATTTAAATCAAGGCGTGAATGAGAACAAAAGGTAGATCTCAAAGATGCTATTACTTGGGTATAAAGATGTTTTATGTACTCTTAAGTTTCATTAAAGACCACTGCTTTATATGGCTTTATATCAAAGAGATGGTACCATAGTTGCTTGCCAGGTATCTATTTTACATCCATTCAAACACGCACAGACTGACAAATAAATATAGTTGATTAAATGGCAATTACTTATTTAAAAACAATAAAAACATCCTTGAGCAAATTTATAAAGAGTCTCTTCCTTCTGGCTGCTACATTTTAGTGGTAAGAATCACATCTAAAAAAATTAACATAGTTTTCAGTAAACTATGTACTTTGTTAGAAAACATAAGTTCTAATGGTAATAAATTGACATAACATGGTGAAGGGAATGGAGAGTGTAGGGGATGAAGTTTGGTTGGAATTTTAGAGAGTCATTGTCACCTTGAAAAGATAGCATTTGAGCAAAGGCTTGAAAAGGTGCAGCTTCTAGTTGCTCCAGCTAAAGGGATCAACAAGGAAGTGATTTGTCTGAGGATCTCCAAGGAGGCTTTATGGCTAGAGTAAAAGTAGGATGAGATACGGGACAGGCTTTGTCCTACAACACTCATTTTTTTTGTTTTAATATTTATTAATGTTTTCATGTTATTACCATCATTAATGCAGTGTGATTATTGTTATTTTTTGCTTTCTGCTCTAAGTCCTAGGTTTTTGTTGTCTTCTTTGCTCTAGTTACATAAAATGCATTTATTCAATTAAAAAATTCTAGAAATACAGAATCTGATCTTTCAGTGGTTATATTCAGCATTCTGTCTAGTGACATATATACTCATTTTTAAAAAAAATTGCTGAAACAAACTAGGTGGAAACATTTAAAGTTAGATGCTAGATTATAAACTTAAAAGTAGAAGTGCATCTATTTAAATGACTAGCCTCTCCCACTATTCACATTGAGAATCTAACAGAGTTGAGAGTTGGGGATGTGGAAGTACCTTTGGAGACTATTTTTCTCTAGGGCTTATGGATTGTGCTGTGAGTCTCAGAGGGGATGAGAACCAGAGAGAGGTGGCATTCTAATAGAACTTTAAATAAGAAAAATGATGCTCTGAAGAAACCATGTGGAGCTCTTCATTTGTGTTCCTCTGTACTTTAGCAGACATCTTAAAATATTGTCTGATTTACAACTGAGAAAGAGTGAGAGATGGTGGGGTAGTTTATCAAAGCAGAAAAAGGTGCCTTTTTGGCTGTTTTGTCTTTCTACAGTTTTTGGGCAAGGTATTGATAGCATTGTTTTTTTCTTTTTTTGGTCATGAGTCAACCCATGAAAGATATTCAAATATGTGTTACTTTAGATTTTGCGCAGGCTGAGGAACTAGATCTCAGCAGAGAGAAGTGGAAAGTATTCCTGGGAACTGAGAATAAATGACTATCCAGCAGGCATTTCCTCTCTACAGGACATTGCAGATGGGAGGTCTTCAGTACTGGAGAACTTTTCTCAGGACAACATGTTAGACTTAGCTATCTGCCAAGTTTGGGCTTGTCTGAGTGCATCATGGTAGTATTTCTGAAGTAAGATCTTTCTCAACTTCCTTTATCCTGTTGACCTAAAGAAATAAGCTGAGGATAAAATATAATTTTAAAGAGTTTACTTGAGCTAAAATGAGGAAAGCTGCCTGGGATATACTTCCTAGTTGCCTTGGTGAGTGCTCAATTGAGCCTTTGTTAGAAGCAAGTTTTTAAAGGCAAATGGGAATAAGGAGGTGGCTGATGCACAGTTATTCGACAGGAATTCTCATTGGCATACATAAATAAATAACATTGATTAGTAATTGACCATACATTGTTGAAATATAGGATATGAGTTATGGTGTTTGGTATATGGCATTGTAGGGCTACTGGATATCAATCACTCTAAAGCCAACATACCAAATGGCATCAAAGGGTAATTGTTTGGCCTAAGGGAGGAGAGAGATTTGACTGCTGTCACATTTCACTCTCTCTCTCTGGACCTGATAATTTAAAGGGGCTTGAATTCCTCAGATAAAAAGCTTATCTCCTTTCTCACTTTGTACCACTATTCCCTAACTCCAATTTCAAAGTGGCCAGAAACAGGTGTTACTTTTCTATGGAAGAGAAGAAATATTACGTAGAGGAAAGGAAGAGAAATCTGATCATAACTACACTTTCTTTTTCTTTTCTTTTTTAAAAAAAATATGTATACATATTTATTATACTTTAAGTTCTAGGGTACATGTGCACAACGTGCAGGTTTGTTACATATGTATACATGTGCCATGTTGGTGTGCTGCACCCATTAACTCGTCCTTTACATTAGGTATATCTCCTAATGCTATCCCTCCCCCCTCCCCCCACCCCACGACAGGCCTCAGTGTGTGATGTTCCCCTTCCTGTGTCCAAGTGTTCTCATTGTTCAATTCCCACCTATGAGTGAGAACATGCGATGTTTGGTTTTTTGTCCTTGTGATAGTTTGCTGAGAATGATGATTTCCAGCTTCATCCATGTCCCTAGAAAGGACATGAACTCATCCTTTTTTATGGCTGCATAGTATTCCATGGTGTATATGTGCCACATTTTCTTAATTCAGTCTATCGTTGTTGGACATTTGGGTTGGTTCCAAGTCTTTGCTATTGTGAATAGTGCCACAATAAACATATGTGTGCATGTGTCTTTATAGCAGCATGATTTATAATCCTTTGGGTGTATACCCAGTGGATATATACTGGGATGGCTGGGTCAAGTGGTATTTCTAGTTCTAGATCCCTGAGTAATCACCACAGTCTCTTCCACAATGGTTAAACTAGTTTACAGTCCCACCAACAGTGTATAAGTGTTCCTGTTTCTCCACATCCTCTCCAGCACCTGTTGTTTCCTGACTTTTTAATGATCGCCATTCTAACTGGTGTGAGATGGTATCTCATTGTGGTTTTGATTTGCATTTCTCTGATGGCCAGTGATGATGAGCATTTTTTTCATGTGTCTGTTGGCTGCATAAATGTCTTCTTTTGAGAAGTGTCTGTTCATATCCTTTGCCCACTTGTTGATGGAGTTGTTTGTTTTTTTCCTGTAAATTTGTTTGAGTTCTTTGTAGATTCTGGATATTCGCCCCTTGTCAGATGAGTAGATTGCAAAATTTTTCTCCCATTCTGTAGGCTGCCTGTTCACTCTGATGGTAGTTTCTTTTGCTGTGCAGAAGCTCCTTAGTTTAATTAGATCCCATTTGTCAATTTTGGCTTTTGTTGCCATTGCTTTTGGTGTTTTAGACATGAAGTCCTTGCCCATGCCTATGTCCTGAATGGTATTGAAAACCTGAATAGGTTTATCTTCTAGGGTTTTTATGGTTTTAGGTCTAACATTTAAGTCTTTAATCCATCTTGAATTAATTTTTGTATAAGGTGTAAGGTAGGGATCCAGTTTCAGCTTTCTACATATGGGTGGCCAGTTTTCCCAGCACCATTTGTTAAATAGGGAATCCTTTCCCCATTTCTTGTTTTTGTCAGGATTGTCAAAGATCAGATAGTTGTAGATGTGTGGTAGTATTTCTGAGGGCTCTGTTCTCTTCCATTGGTCTGTATCTCTGTTTTGGTACCAGTACCATGCTGTTTTGGTTACTGCAGCCTCGTCGTATAGTTTGAAGTCAGGTAGTGTGATGCCTCCAGCTTTTTTCTTTTGGCTTAGGATTGACTTGGCAATGTGGGCTCTTTTTTGATTCCATATGAACTTTAAAGTAGTTTTTTCCAATTCTGTGAAGAAAGTCATTGGTAGCTTGATGGGGAAGGCATTGAATCTATAATTACCTTGGGCAGTATGGACATTATCATGATATTGATTCTTCCTACCCATGAGCATGGAATGTTCTTCCATTTGTTTGTGTCCTCTTTTATTTCGTTGAGCAGTGGTTTGTAGTTCTCCTTGAAGAGATCCTTTACATCCCTTGTAAGTTGGATTCCTAGGTATTTTATTATCTTCGAAACAATTGTGAATGGGAATTCCCTCATGATTTGGCTTTCTATTTGTCTGTTATTGGTGTATAAGAATGCTTGTGATTTTTGCACATTGATTTTGTATCCTGAGACTTTGCTGAAGTTGCTTATCAGCTTAAGGAGATTTTGGGCTGAGAAGATTGGGTTTTCTAGATATACATTCATGTCATCTGCAAACAGGGACAATTTGACTTCCTCTTTTCCTAATCGAATACCCTTTATTTCTTTCTCTTGCCTGATTGCCCTGGCGAGAACTTCCAACACTATGTTGAATAGGAGTGGTGAGAGAGGGCATCCTTGTCTTGTGCCAGTTTTGAAAGGGAATGCTTCCAGTTTTTGCCCATTCCGTATGATATTGCCTGTGGGTTTGTCATAAATAGCTCTTACTATTTTGAGAGACGTCCCATCAATACCTCATTTATTGAGAGTTTTTAGCATGAAGGGCTGCTGAATTTTGTCAAAGGCCTTTTCTGCATCTATTGAGATAATCATGTGGTTTTTGTCTTTGGTTTTGTTTATATGCTGGATTACGTTTATTGATTTGCGTTTGTTGATCCAGCCTTGCATCCCAGGGATGAAGCCCACTTGATCATGGTGGACAAGCTTTTTGATGTGCTACTGGATTCAGTTTGCCAGTATTTTACTGAGGAGTTTTGCATCGATGTTTATCAGGGATATTTGTCTAAAATTCTCTATTTTTATTGTGTCTCTGCCCGGCTTTGGTATCAGGATGATGCTGGCCTCATAAAATGTGTTAGGGAGGATTCCTTCTTTTTCTGTCAATTGGAATAGTTTCAGAAGGAATGGTACCAGCTCCTCCTTGTACCTCTGGTAGAATTTGGCTGTGAATCTGTCTGATCCTGGAATTTTTTTTGGTTGGTAAGCTATTAATTATTGTCTCAATTTCAGAGCCTGTTATTGGTCTATTCAGAGATTCAACTTCTTCCTGGTTTAGTCTTGGAGGGTTTATGTGTCCAGAAATTTATCCATTTCTTCTGGATTTTCTAATTTATTTGCGTAGAGGTGTTTACAGTATTCTGTGATGGTAGTTTGTATTTCTCTGGGATCAGTGAATCGAAAATATAAGGATACTGCCCAGCTTTTCATCCAGGGGCAGGAGAAAAACAACTAGTGCTACATCACAGATCCCAAAAGACAGTAGGAGAAAATGATTTACCATTAAAATCAATTAATTATGTTTTTACAATTAACCAGATACACACACACACACACACACACACACACACACACACACACACACACATCCTTGCAAGCAGACACACACCTGAAACTTTATTTTTATTGGCAATGTAAACAATAAAAGAGTAGCCCATCTGTAAAAGATGGATATTTAAATTCTAAACACTTTCCTCATATACTCCATTCAATTTGTTTATTAAATCAGAGATATTTTGGTGCAGATAAATATTCATGTTAATTTTATATTATGTATTTCTTTTGAGATTATTCTAATTGATTATTTTTTATTTGTAGAATAATTATGTGGACTTGACTCATATTTAGCTAATTTAATTGACAACAGTAAACTTTTTGTACAGTCTTATATTCTTCAGCTTGTGTTTTACTTCATCTTTTGTTCAAACAATTATATCTGTGTAATTTATTTAAGAAGTTACATAAGTGATATAATTACTGAACGCTTGTTTTAATGACTTAATCAGGGAATAATTTGTAAGCATCTACTGAGTCAGGAATATCTATTTTCTTTATGCATAAAAAGTATTTTGGCTGATTGGAGAATTCTTGAATTTTAAGTCTTTGTCTACTTCTTACCTTCTCCCTCCCCATAAAAGATCTTTCCTTGCAGCTTTGTTATCAATATCCTTTGTTGTTTCCAGGCTGTGTTCTTTTCCTTTGTTTTCCCTCATCTCTATCCTGTGTTATTTGTGTGCTTATATTGTTTTTGAATATTAAAACTCAAATATTTCAATGAAATGACACTTGATATTAGAATACTTAGATTTTGTTTATACATTCATGTTAAGCTTCAGTTTAAGATTATTATTATTATTATTATTTTTTTTTGAGATGAAGTCTTGTTCTAGTCACCCAAGCTGGAGTGAGCAATGGCAAGACCTTGGCTCACTGCAATCTACAACTCCTAGGTTCAAGTGATTCTCCTGTCTCTGCCTCCCGAGTAGCTGGGATTACAGGCGTGCACCATCACACCTGGCTAGTTTTTTGTATTTTTAGTAGAGATGGGGTTTCACCATGTTGGCCAGGCTGGGCTCGAACTCCTGTCCTCAGGTGATCTGTCTGCCTCAGCCTCCCAAAGTGTTGGGATTACAGGCGTAAACCACAGTGCCCGTCCAAAATAGTTGTGATTATTGTTATTATTATGTTTTTTAGAGACAGGGTCTCACTCTGTCCCCCAGGCTGCAATGACACAAACTTGGCTCAATGCAGCCTTACCCTCCTGGGCTCAAGCAATCTTAATACCTCAGCCTCCCAAGTAGCTGGGCCTAAAGGCACATGCCACTATGCCCCCCTAATTTTTTGTAATTTTGTAGAGATGGTAGTCACTCTATGTTTCCCAAGCAGGTCTCAAACTCCTGGGTGCAAGCCATCCTCCCATCTTAGACTCCCAAAGTATTTGGATTACAGGTGTGAACCACCATGTTCAGCCTATCACTTATTTGAGTAATACATAATTTGTATTTTTTCTGCTTTTTTTTTTCTGAAACAGGGTCTCACTCTGTCACCCAGACTGTAGTTCAGTGGCGTCATCAAAGCTCACTGCAGCCTCTAGCTCCTGAGCTCAAGCAATTCTGCCACTTCAGCATCCTGATTAGCTAGGTCTACAGGCACATGCTACCATGCCCACTATCTCATTCTTTTTTAGCTTGTTTTTCCTAGACTGAATTTTCCGTATCTTTCACATTTTCTTATAATTACCTTCTTTTATATTATTTTGTCAATTGTCATGAATTTAGTTTGTTGGTTGGCTTTTGAAGACTCGGTCATATATTCTTTGCCTAGGCCAATATCCAGAAGAGTTTTTCCCAGGTTTTCTTTTAGGATTTTTATAGTTTTCAGGTATTATATTTAAGTCTTTAATCCATCTCAAATTAATTTTTGTAGATGATAAGAGGAATGGGCCCAGTTTCATTCTTCCTGTGGCTATCCAATTTTCCCAGCACCATTTATTGAACAGGATGTCATTTCCCCAGTGCAAATGTTTTTGATAACTTTGTTGAAGATCGGTTGGTGGTAGGTCTATGGCTTTATTTTTGTGGTCTGTCTTCCATTCCATTGATCTATGTGTTTATTTTTATATCAGTACTACACTCTTTTGCTTACTACAGCTTCAATTTAGTTTTCTGTAATTTCCAATAGGTTGTTTTAAGCATTCTTAACAAAATAATGTTTATCAAATCAAAACAATGTATTTTCATCTTTTTAGACAGTTTGTTCTTTATTACTACTTGCTCTAGCTTTATAGCTGAGATATGTTCTTTTGTATCTAGAGAACGAAATTAAAACTAAAGTTCTGCTTTGTTTATAGCAACAAAAGTGTTTTGTGACAGCAACTCTTTGATTAGCAATAAAAGTCCCTGGCTTTTGACCTCTTGTGTTTTTACATGGTTTTGACACTTTTCATTTTTGTACTCAGTTAAAGGAAAACCTTAAAAATAGTTCTCTGCTTACAGTAACTACTCACTCTGAAAAAGAAGCCTTTCTAATGTTGTTCTTTATATATGTGACAGCCACACATCAAAAGAGCTTCCAATACACTGTGGCTACTCATTCTAAAAAAGATTTCTACTGCCCAAATATTATTCTTCTTAGGGTTGCTTTTCAATCAATAACAGTTAGTCATGCCCAATATCATTTAATGAATATAGCTATACAATAGGAAATAATGTTCAGAAGGAGATGTTCTCTGCCCTCACGGAGCTAAGAACATGCCAATCACTGCCTTCATCTTTGGGGTTTATCAGGATTCCTCCATTGAGTACCTAGCTGTCTTTTTAACCATAGAACATTCTATTTTTGAAGCCAGAAAAATCATATGTCTTCCTTCTAGGTCAAGTGTTTGTTTCACTTTTAATTGCATTTAGCCAAATCTCTAGTGACAAGTCTGGTAAGAG
The DNA here is from genome assembly GCF_000001405.40 of Homo sapiens. Taxonomy (NCBI): domain Eukaryota; kingdom Metazoa; phylum Chordata; class Mammalia; order Primates; family Hominidae; genus Homo; species Homo sapiens. The sequence continues at coordinate 166,011,914 of NC_000003.12, forward strand.
AGTCAAGTTTTAAGCAGCAATGTGGCTTTACTCAATTTATTTATTTATTTATTTATTTATTTATTTATTTATTTATTTTTATGTTGGTCATAAATTTGGTGTCTAGTGGGATAAGAAAAAATTGAACACCATATTTATGTTGCTTGTGAGTCAAATTGTCACTATTGTCTTAGGGTTTCTAAAACTATTTAGACTTTCTTCTTTGGCAAAAGACCTCTCCGTTGCAGAATCTCTTTGTCTCATAAAAATTAATGTACCTATGTCAATTAGTTCAACCATTTTGGAAGACAGTGTGGCTATTCCTCAAAGACCTAGAGGCAGAGATACCATTGGACTCAAGAATCTCATTACTGGATACATACCCAAAGGAATATAAATCATTCTATTATAAAGGTACATGCATGCATATGTTTATTGCAGTACTATTTACAATAGCAAAGACATGGAATCAACCTACATGCCCATCAATGATAGACTGGATAAAGAAAATGTGGTACATATACACCATGGAATATTATGCAGCCATAAAAAAGAACAAGATCATGTCCTTTGCAGGGGCATAGATGGAGTTGGAAGCCATTCTCCAGCAACCTAATGCAGGAACAGAAAACCAAACACTACATGTTCTCACTTATGAGTGGGAGCTGAATGATGAGAATACATGGACACATGGTGGGGAAAAACAACACACACAGGACCTGTTGGGGTGGGGTTGGGGGAATAGCATCAGGAAAAATCGCTAATTGATGCTGGGCTTATTACCTAGTAGGTGGGGTGATCTGTGCCACAAATCATCAAAGCACACATTAACTTATGTAACAAAACTGCACATCCTGACCATTTATCCCTGAACTTAAAATAAAGGTTGAAGGGAAAGTTAAAGAAAGTACGAGATGTGTTTGAGCTAAAAAGCAAGGCTTTGTGTCAATGGAAATGCCATACATGTCATATCTCAACATGTAACACTATCAAAAATTAGGCAAAATGTTTCATTTTCCCGGTGTCAAACACCAAAAATTATTTTTGGCATTTTAATTACTGTTTTTATTCCATTAGGCCTTCTGTGAGTAGGGATATTTTGTGTAAAATTCTAATAATCCCTTATACTTTTTATGAGCAGATATATTGCTTCATTAAATCTGATTGTTTATAGCTAATAATAAAAACTTTACCAAACCTAAAAAAAATTAATGTACCTAATTTTTATATGAATTCTTATTTTATTTATTGAGAGGAAACTGTAGATATGTGGATAGTCAATAAATGTAGATTCATGATTTCTTGCAATTTACAACTTTAAATAGCAGTAATGGTCATACTTATTACCAAGCATCAAAAATTTGATAAACCTATCCAGCAGATGGCGGTGTTACCATAATGTGGTGTGTGTTTAATAGATTATTTTAGTCTTAAAAGTTTTAGAAGACAGGTGCTATTTGCATTTAAATGGAACCATTGTTCAAGTATTTAAAAAAATGATACCATCCATGAGGCAATTTGGTAGTGTGTGTGCAATATATCAAGAAATTATGTGTAGAAGTTATCAATTAACATAAGAAAATCATTAGAAATATATAAATTATATATAATTCATTTATAGTTATAAACTTTATAAATTATAATTTTACCTTATATTTATGTGTAATTTATATATGATAAACATGATTATTCAAAAACAGTATGAGTGTATTTGAAAAATATTTTAGTAATATTCTATTTATTATCTGAATTTTATATACATATATGTATGAGTAATTTATTTTAAAATTTCATGGGTTTTTTTGAATAGAAGTAATTTATAAATCTATATATTTGATTTTTCTAAAATACTTTGTCCCAATTCTGTAGTAGCAAAATTAAATTGTAGTTATTTAACTTATTGAATTCATGTAAAAGATTTTAATTTAAACAGTTACTATGAGCAAAACAAACAAGTTAACAGTTCCTCTTACCTATTCAGAACTGAGAAACTATAAGATCTTGAACAGTGTCCAGAAAAATGATAAGATACTGAGAAAGAAAGGCAATGTCAGCATCACAGGATAAGAGTATTAGCTAAGAAAGTACACATCTCACTAGAATTTAGAAGGACCACAGGTACTTCCATGTACAAATATTTATTTTGTTTTTATACTATGATTTTCCTCTGTCATTGGCCATTATTTTTAATTTGTGGGAGAAAATGTACAAGACCTTACATGTACAAGGAATTACATTTGATATTAATGTTTTTCCTAGCATAACATTCAGTAGACTTTTAATAGCTACTTAGTAAGTTAATATGGTCAATCAATTTTTTATGTTCTAATCAAAATTTATTCTATTTACTTTGCCTCTAGGAGAGAGGAAGAAAGTGACATTCTTGGGCATGGATCAATGGCACCACAAATCCCATATTTTGAATTTCAATATTTATGCCAATAACTCAAGTATTTATTTTTGATAGTGAAAGCGTGATTGTAGTTACTTTGATGAAAGTTTTCAGTGGTAAATAATTAATATGCATCATGTTATATTGCATTTGGTTATATGCAATAATTAATACATATTTTGTATATTCTTACTTTAAAATAAATATGTATTTATTTTTAAAGAATAAAGCTTACAGAATGACAACTAAAAATACTCCTTTCAAAACTTTTGTTGTATCCAGCAGAGTAACCACTGTCATCAATGTTGTATATAATTGTCCATATATTTTACATATATTAGCCAATACAGATATATTTTTATCAACTTGTATCCCACTATAAATATTTATCTATAATAGTTTGCAGGACATTTAATACATATTTTTATTAATTTTTATCCTATAAATTTAATATGTTTTCTTGGTTCAGAGCTAAATAATACAGAAACATGATAAAAGCAAGTTTTCTTTCTTATAGCACACCTCCTAAACTCAATATCAATTTCATTCCTGTTAACAATTAGGTATAAACTCATCATGTATTTCTTTTCTATTAGTGTTTCACTAGATCTGAATATTTTTTCTACTTTTTGGAGTTCTTTCTATGGTAAGAAAATACATTCTTAGTCAACTATTAATAACATTTTTCAGTTTTATTTCTTCTTTAGACTTGATTTATTTTGTTTTACTTAGATTTTAGCAACAGTAGTCGAAAAGGTTAGGTAGTGAAATATATCAACTTTTAGCTTTGGAGAGTCTGAGTATTATTATTTCAAATTAAGGCATTCATTCCCTATGATTAGAATTGAAAAATATTCACTTATATATTTTGTTGTCACTTTTGTGACACTGTTAATTTTTTAACATACAAATATTTTATCCATCTAATTGTTTTGTTGTATGAAGGAGTTAGAGTTTTTTTGCTTTTCCTAAATGGTTAGTTTTAACATTAGAGGAATGGCTTTCTGGTGATCTTTTCCAGAGAGTACCTTTCAAATAAGAACATTTCAACAAGTCTGATTTCATATAAAAATATATGTCATGCCTTTACTTGAAAATTTGATCTAGTGATGAAACAGTAAGCAATATTTGTTTTAAAAATAATGCTTTAATTTGTGTTCTAAAATTGAGGTTATGTTGCCTGTGAGTCAGATGTCACTGTTATTTGGGGGCTTCTAAAACAGTTTAGGGTTTTTTCTTTGTCAGAAGACCTCTACATTGTAGAATCTCTGTCTCATGAACAAAATTTAGACTAGAGCTAGGAGTGATAGCACCTCTTAAAAGTTGTTTATTTCTGCCATCCATTTGCTAGAATGATCACTTTCATAAAAATCCTTGACTTGTGATTCTATTCCCTTTAATTTGTGACGATGGCAACCAATTCAGAGATTCATTAAAGATTCTATCTCAGTTTTAGAAAACACTATTAAGAAAACCAATATGTTGTATTACCTTCTTATAGCTTCTCATTTTGTTCCAAATCTATCTTATGTTAAAGGAGGAATAGTTAAATTGTTTAAAATAAAATATTGTCTAAATGATTAGAAAGATTCCTTATTCTGGTCACCTCTCCATCAGGGTTGTTTTTTTTTCTGTGGTGTATCTATGAGCCTCTTGAAATCTAGTACTCAGAAATAAATGCAATATATCAGATATAAGCTGAACAATAGAATTTACAGTTTTCATATCAATAGCACTACACTTCTAAACATGCAGGTCAACGAATAATCACTTAATAATTTGTAGCTGTTTTTTTCAAATGATTAAAATGTAAGGTAACTCTTCAAGCTTATGGTCAACTAAAATCTCATGAATAAAATGTTAATTTGGTTATCACCTTTAAACACACTTTAAGCTTAAATATAAGTTATTCCATTATTTTTATTAAATAGAAAATTGTGGAATCGAGACAAGAATTTTAGTTTATTTTATTAATTTATAAAAGTATTAATTTAGAGATTAAAATGTGCCAATTTCCTGATTATTACAACAAAGGAAGCTAGATCAAACAAGGTTTCTGCACTTCTCCAAACATAGAATCTGTGACACATATTTAGCTCAAATTAACTAAATAAATGAACCATTTGGAGAAAAAAGCTAAGGAAGCACTGACCAGAGAGAAAGAAGGAGGCTGCTTGTGCAATAATTACACTTAGCTACCTAGAGACTTGTTCAATGATATAGGGACCTGTACTTGTCAGGAGGTGGATAAGATTGCTGGGTAAAGATTCTATATTATAGAATTTGTCTCTAATACTACAGCAATACATTCAATACTTTCCAAATTTAAGTATTAGTACAATGTTGAAAGATAAGCAAGTAAAAAACAGGCATGAAGCTTAAATGAACTTGACTTATTCTTCATAAACATATACAGACTGAGCATTCTCCATATCCTTCTCAATTAAACTTGAAACAGCACTAGAATATTAAAATGTGTTGTCACAGTAACAATACATATACAACTCTAAAATGTGCCACTATAGAATATGATAGAACAAACACACAAAAATGTCACATGTAATTTAACTACCCAAATCATTTTAATTTTCTAAGAATATCTTGAATACAATGGTTTTCAACATCTGGTCTTTGGATTAGCTCCATTGGTGTCACCTGGGAACTTATTAGAAATATAAATTGTTTTTGCTTTTTTTTATTTCAATAGATTTTGGGGGAACAGATGATATTTGATTACATGAGTAAGTCACCTTATCCATGAAACATTTAGTGGTGATTTTTGAGATTTTGGTGCACCCATCACCCAAGCAGTGTACACTGTACCCAATGTGCAGTCTTCTATCCCTCAGCTCCCTCCAACCCTTCCCTCCAAGTCCTCAAAGTCCATTGTGTCATTTTTATGCCTTTGCATCTTCATAGCTTAGTTCCCACTTATAAGTGAGAACATATGATGTTTGGTTTTCCATTCCTGAGTTATTTCACTTAGAATAATGGTCTCCAATTCCATCCAGTTTGCTGCAAATGCCATTATTATGTTCCTTTTTATGGCTGAGTAGTATTCCATGGTTTGTGTGTGTGTGTGTGTGTGTGTGTGTGTGTATATACATAAATATAAAAATATATATATACACACATACATGTGTATATATGTAACATTTTGTGATATATATATAACATTTTGTGATTTATATGTGTGTATATATATATATAAAAAACATTTTGTGATATATATATCACATTTTCTTTATCCATTCATTGCTTGCTGGGCATTTGGCCTGGTTCCATATTTTTGAAATTATGAATTGTGCTGCTATAAACATGCATGTGCAAGTGACTTTTTTGTGTATTGACTTCCTCTGGGTAGATACTCAGTAGTGGGATTTCTGTATCAGATTATAGATCTAATTTTAATTCTTCAAGGAATCTCCATGGTTTTCCATAGTGGTTGTACTAGTTTACATTTCCACCACCAGTGTAAAAGGGCTCCCTTTTCACTATATCCATGCCAACATCCATTATTTTTTGATTTTTTAATTATGACCATTCTTGGAGAAGTAAGGTGGTTGGTATGATTTGACTGTGTCCCCACCCAAATCTCATCTTGAATTGTAATCCCCATATGTTATTTGGGAGGGGCCCAGTGGGTGGTAATTGAATCATGGGGTGGTTTCTCCCATGCTATTCTCATGATAGTAAGTTCCCACAAGATCTGATAGTTTTATAAGGGGCTTCCTCCTTTGCTCAGCTCTCATTCTTCTCTGTCCTGTCACCCTGTGAAGAAGGATGTTTTTGCTTTCCCTTCTGCCATGATTGTAAGTTTTCTGAGACTTCCCAGGCCCTGTGGAACTATGAGTCAATTAATCCTCTTTCCTTTATAAATTACCCAGTCTTGGGCAGTTATTTATAGCAGCATGAGAATGGACTAATACAGTGCTATTGCATTGTGGTTCTGATTTGCATTTTCTTGATAATTAGTGGTGTCGAGCATTTTTGTCATATGTTTGTTGGCCATTTGTATATCTTCTTTTGAGAATAGTCTATTCATGTCCTCAGCTCACTTTTTGGTGGGATTGTTGTTGTTGTTGTTTTCCTTGCTGATTTGTTGGAGTTCCTTGTAGGTATTGGATATTAGTTCTTTCTCAGATGAATATTGGTGAAGAGTCTCCCCCACTCTGTGGGTTGTCTGTTTACTCTACTGATTATTATTATTATTTTGCTGTGCAGAAACTTTTTAGTTTAATTAAGTCTCATCTAATTATCTTTCTGTTGCGTTAGTGTTTGAGTTCTTGGTCATGAAGCCTTTGCCTAAGCCAATGTCTAGAAGAGATTTTCTGATGTTGTCTTCTAAAATTTTTATTGTTTCAAGTCTTAGATTTAAGTCTTTGATCAATCTTAAGTTTATTTTTGTATAAGGTAAAAGATGAGGATCAAGTTTCATTCTTCTACAAGTGGCTTGACAATTATCCCAACACCATTTGTTGAATAGGTTGTCCTTTACCCACTCTATGTTTTTGTTTGCTTTGTCAAAAATCAGTTAGCTATAAGTATTTGGCTTTATTTATAGGGTGTCTATTATGTTCCATTGGCCAATGTGTCTATTTTTATGACAGTACCATGTTGTTTTGGTTACTATAGTCTTATATATAGTTTGAAGTCAGGTAATGTGATACCTCCAGATTTGTTCTTTTTGCTTAGTCTTGCTTTGGCTCCTTTTTGGTTCCATATGAATTTTATAATTTTTTTTTTGTTCTGTGAGGAATGATGATGGTACCAATATCCCCAATGAATATAGATGCAAAAGTCTTCAACAAAATACTAGTTAACCAAATCCAACAACATATCTAAAAGATAATTCACTATGATCAAGTGGGACTCATACCAGGGATACAGGGATGATTTAAAACACAGGTCAATAAATGTGATACACCACACAAACAGAATTAAAAATAACAATTACATGGTCATCTCAATAGATGCAGAAAAATAATTTGAAAAAATCCAGTATCTCTTTATGATTAAAACCCTCAGCAAAATAGGCAAAGAAAGGACAAACCTTAAGGTAATAAAAGCCATCTATGACAATCCCATAACCAACATTACACTGAATTGGGAAAAGTTGAAAGCATTCCCCCTGAGAACTGGAACAAGACAAGGGTGCCCACTTTCACCACTTCTATTCAACATTGTACTGGAATTCCTAGCCAGAACAATCAGACAAGGGAAAGAAATAGAGGGCGCCTAAATTGGTAAAAAGGGAATAAAACTGTGTTGTGCACTGATTATATAATTGTATACCTAGAAAACCCTAAGGATTCACCCCAAAAGCTCCTAAAACATATAAACGAATTTAGCAAAGTTTCAGGATACAAAATCATCATACACAAGTCAGTAGCACTGCTATACACCAACACTAACCAAGCTGAGAATCAAATCAAGAACTCAACCTCTTTTACAAGAGCTGCAAAATAAAATAAAATAAACCAAGTAGGAATATACCTAACCAAGGGGGTGAAAGACCTCTATAAGGAAAACTACAAAACACTACTGAAAAAAATTATAAAAGACACAAACAAATGCAAACATATTTCATGCTCATGGATATGTATACTAAATATTACTGTGAAAATGACCATACTGCCAAAAGCAATTTAGAAATATAAATTCTTAAGCTTCATCCCAGACTTAATGAATTAGAAACTCAGGGGTTAGGACTGGGCCCAGAAAGCTGTGTTTTAACTACTTCTCCAAGTGACTCTGAAGTCACTAAAATCTGAGAACCATTGTTTTTGTAAAGTAGTTTCATCAACTTGCAGTGACATAGAATCATCTGGAGACGTTTTTCAAGTGGCATTGACTGATTTCCACCCATGTTGATTTAATAGGTTTCATAAATTTTTAAGCTTTTATATTTCTTGCACAATTGTACTTTGTAATGTGTTACTGATCCAATATTTTGCTCATTCCACTTGCTTTTTTTTCTCTCATTTTTCTTTTACTCTTTTTTTCTTCTGTCATGGACTACTCTTTCGGTGTTTGTGTGTGTGTGTGTGTGTGTGTGTGTGTGTGTGGTTATTTAAATTTTTAAGCTTCTGTCCATGAATTTTGAGAATTTAACAAAAGACATGTTGAAAATGAGCCATGTGTGTCAGGCTCAGTTCTTCTCAATCTTCTTATTGAGCTCACATTCTTCAAAGTCTCTAATTATGTCTTCCTGAAACAAGAAGGCCACCAAAGCAACTCAATGCCTTTCTTCTTGAGCAGTCTTCCTCTCCCTCCATGAAGCTCTGATTCAAAGCTTCTTGTCCTACAGAGAGAATTTAAAAAGTGGCTGTAGAATATCAGCTCACTTCTCTGTGAATTCTCTGACTCGATTCCTGTCTCTGCTAGTCCTAGCTTCTTCAGCGCTCTCTTATTTTTTTAAAGTGGCTTTAAATGTTTTAAATCTGGTTCTTGTAATTATTCTCAGTAGGAGAGCTGGATTGCTTCAAGCTACTCCATCATAACGAGAAGCAAAAGTATAATGTTATTTTTATATTTGAACTTGTTATTTTTTAACAATTATTTTTGTATGTAATTTGTATTTACTGTACTTTAATATGTGTTTGTTTACGTGGAAAGTATATTTACTTATACTTCTTTTTTCTATTTGCATTTTAAAGTTCTTATTGTGAAGCATCCTTAATACTTATCCCAATTACTTTGATTTAATTACTACACATTATTTTATAAATTTGTAGCTTTTCCAAAAATTATATAGGTTTCTTTAATATTGTAGCATGCATAATCACCTTGGAAAAGTCTGAATTTAATAAGTAGTCTTTTTTTTATTATTATACTTTAAGTTTTAGGGTACATGTGCACAATGTGCAGGTTAGTTACATATGTATACGTGTGCCATGCTGGTGCGCTGCACCCACTAACTCATCATCTAGCATTAGGTATATCTCCCAATGCTATCCCTCCCCCCTCCCCCCACCCCACAACAGTCCCCAGAATGTGATGTTCCCCTTCCTGTGTCCATGTGTTCTCATTGTTCAATTCCCACCTATAAGTGAGAATATGCGGTGTTTGGTTTTTTGTTCTTGCGATAGTTTACTGAGAATGATGATTTCCAATTTCATCCATGTCCCTACAAAGGACATGAACTCATCATTTTTTATGGCTGCATAGTATTCCATGGTGTATATGTGCCACATTTTCTTAATCCAGTCTATCATTGTTGGACATTTGGGTTGGTTCCAAGTCTTTGCTATTGTGAATAGTGCCGCAATAAACATACGTGTGCATGTGTCTTTATAGCGGCATGATTTATAGTCCTTTGGGTATATACCCAGTAATGGGATGGCTGGGTCAAATGGTATTTCTAGTTCTAGATCCCTGAGGAATCGCCACACTGACTTCCACAATGGTTGAACTAGTTTACAGTCCCACCAACAGTGTAAAAGTGTTCCTGTTTCTCCACATCCTCTCCAGCACCTGTTTCCTGACTTTTTAATGATTGCCATTCTAACTGGTGTGAGATGGTATCTTATTGTGGTTTTGATTTGCATTTCTCTGATGGCCAGTGATGGTGAGCATTTTTTCATGTGTTTTTTGGCTGCATAAATGTCTTCTTTTGAGAAGTGTGTGTTCATGTCCTTCGCCCACTTTTTGATGGGGTTGTTTGTTTTTTTCCTGTAAATTTGTTTGAGTTCATTGTAGATTCTGGATATTAGCCCTTTGTCAGATGAGTAGGTTGCAAAAATTTTCTCCCATTTTGTAGGTTGCCTGTTCGCTCTGATGGTAGTTTCTTTTGCTGTGCAGAAGCTCTTTAGTTTAATTAGATCCCATTTGTCAATTTTGTCTTTTGTTGCCATTGCTTTTGGTGTTTTAGACATGAAGTCCTTGCCCATGCCTATGTCCTGAATGGTAATGCCTAGGTTTTCTTCTAGGGTTTTTATGGTTTTAGGTCTAACATTTAAGTCTTTAATCCATCTTGAATTGATTTTTGTATAAGGTGTAAGGAAGGGATCCAGTTTCAGCTTTCTACATATGGGTAGCCAGTTTTCCCAGCACCATTTGTTAAATAGGGAATCCTTTCCCCATTGCTTGTTTTTCTCAGGTTTGTCAAGGATCAGATAGTTGTAGATATGCGGCGTTATTTCTGAGGGCTCTGTTCTGTTCCATTGATCTATATCTCTGTTTTGGTACCAGTACCATGCTGTTTTGGTTACTGTAGCCTTGTAGTATAGTTTGAAGTCAGGTAGTGTGATGCCCCCAGCTTTGTTCTTTTGGCTTAGGATTGACTTGGCAATGTGGGCTCTTTTTTGGTCCATATGAACTTTAAAGTAGTTTTTTCCAATTCTGTGAAGAAAGTCATTGGTAGCTTGATGGGGATGGCATTAAATCTGTAAATTACCTTGGGCAGTATGGCCCTTTTCACGATATTGATTCTTCCTACCCATGAGCATGGAATGTTCTTCCATTTGTTTGTATCCTCTTTTATTTCATTGAGCAGTGGTTTGTAGTTCTCCTTGAAGAGGTCCTTCACATCCCTTGTAAGTTGGATTCCTATGTATTTTATGCTCTTTGAAGCAATTGTGAATGGGCGTTGACTCATGATTTGGCTCTCTGTTTGTCTGTTTTTGGTGTATAAGAATGCTTGTGGTTTTTGTACATTGATTTTGTATCCTGAGACTTTGCTGAAGTTGCTTATCAGCTTAAGGAGATTTTGGGCTGAGACAATGCGGTTTTCTAGATATGCAATCATGTCCTCTGCAAACAGGGACAATTTGACTTCCTCTTTTCCTAATTGAATACCCTTTATTTCCTTCTCCTGCCTAATTGCCCTGGCCAGAACTTCCAACACTATGTTGAACAGGAGTGGTTAGAGAGGACATCCCTGTCTAGTGCCAGTTTTCAAAGGGAATGCTTCCAGTTTTTGCCCATTCAGTATGATATTGGCTGTGGGTTTGTCATAGATAGCTCTTATTATTTTGAAATATGGCCCATCAATACCTAATTTATTGAGAGTTTTTAGCATGAAGGGTTGTTGAATTTTGTCAAAGGCCTTTTCTGCATCTATTGAGATAATCATGTGGTTTTTGTCCTTGGTTCTGTTTATATGCTGGATTACATTTATTGATTTGCGTATATTGAACCAGCCTTGCATCCCAGGGATGAAGCCCACTTGATCATGGTGGATAAGCTTTTTGATGTGCTGCTGGATTCGGTTTGCCAGTATTTTACTGAGGATTTTTGCATCAATGTTCATCAAGGATATTGGTCTAAAATTCTCTTTTTTGGTTGTGTCTCTGCCCGGCTTTGGTATCAGGATGATGCTGGCCTCATAAAATGAGTTAGGGAGGATTCCCTCTTTTTCTATTGATTGGAATAGTTTCAGAAGGAATGGTACCAGTTCCTCCTTATACCTCTGGTAGAATTCGGCTGTAAATCCATCTGGTCCTGGACTCTTTTTGGTTGGTAAGCTATTGATTATTGCCACAATTTCAGATCCTGTTATTGGTCTATTCAGAGATTCAACTTCTTCCTGGTTTAGTCTTGGGAGGGTGTATGTGTCGAGGAATTTATCCATTTCTTCTAGATTTTCTAGTTTATTTGCGTAGTGGTGTTTGTAGTATTCTCTGATGGTGGTTTGTATTTCTGTGGGATCGGTGGTGATATCCCCTTCATCATTTTTTATTACGTCTGTTTCATTCTTCTCTCTTTTTTTCTTTATTAGTCTTGCTAGCGGTTTATCAATTTTCTTGGTCCTTTCAAAAAACCAGCTCCTAGATTCATTAATTTTTTGAAGGTTTTTTTGTGTCTCTATTTCTTCCATTTCTGCTCTGATTTTAGTTATTTCTTGCCTTCTGCTAGCTTTTGAATGTGTTTGCTCTTGCTTTTCTAGTTCTTTTAATTGTGATGTTAGGGTGTCAATTTTGGATCTTTCCTGCTTTCTCTTGTGGGCATTTAGTGCTATAAATTTCCTCTACACACTGCTTTGAATGCATCCCAGAGATTCTGGTATGTTGTGTCTTTGTTCTCGTTGGTTTCAAAGAACATCTTTATTTCTGCCTTCATTTCGTTATGTACCCAGTAGTCATTCAGGAGCAGGTTGTTCAGTTTCCATGTAGTTGAGCGGTTTTGAGTGAGTTTCGTAACCCTGAGTTCTAGTTTGATTGCCCTGTGGTCTGAGAGATAGTTTGTTATAATTTCTGTTCTTTTACATTTGCTGAGGAGAGCTTTACTTCCAAGTATGTGGTCAATTTTGGAATAGGTGTGGTGTGGTGCTGAAAAAAATGTATATTCTGTTGATTTGGGGTGGAGAGTTCTGTAGCTGTCTATTAGGTCTGCTTGGTGCAGAGCTGATTTTAATTCCTGGGTATCCTTGTTGACTTTCTGTCTCGTTGATCTGTCTAATGTTGACAATGGGGTGTTAAAGTCTCCCATTATTAATGTGTGGGAGTCTAAGTCTCTTTGTAGGTCACTCAGGACTTGCTTTATGAATCTGGGTGCTCCTGTATTGGGTGCATATACATTTAGGATAGTTAGTTCTTCTTGTTGAATTGATCCTTTTACCATTATGAAATAGCCTTCTTTGTCTCTTTTGATCTTTGTTGGTTTAAAGTCTGTTTTATCAGAGACTAGGATTGCAACCCCTGCCTTTTTGTGTTTTCCATTTGCTTGGTAGATCTTCCTCCATCCTTTTATTTTGAGCCTATGTGTGTCTCTGCACGTGAGATGGGTTTCCTGAACACAGCACACTGATGGGTCTTGACTCTTTATCCAATTTGCCAGTCTGTGTCTTTTAATTGGAGCATTTAGTCCATTTACATTTAAAGTTAATATTGTTATGTGTGAATTTGATCCTGTTATTATGATGTTAGCTGGTTATTTTGCTCGTTAGTTGATGCAGTTGCTTCCTATTCTCGATGATCTTTACATTTTGGCATGATTTTGCAGCGGCTGGTACCGGTTGTTCCTTTCCATGTTTAGTGCTTCCTTCAGGAGCTCTTTTAGGGCACGCCTGGTGGTGACAAAATCTCTCAGCATTTGCTTGTCTGTAAAGTATTTTATTTCTCCGTCACTTATGAAGCTTAGTTTGGCTGGATATGAAATTCTGGGTTGAAAATTCTTTTCTTTAAGAATGTTGAATATTGGCCCCTACTCTCTTCTGGCTTGTAGAGTTTCTGCCGAGAGATCTGCTGTTAGTCTGATGGGCTTCCCTTTGAGGGTAACCTGACCTTTCTGTCTGGCTGCCCTTAACATTTTTTCCTTCATTTCAACTTTGGTGAATCTGACAATTATGTGTCTTGGAGTTGCTCTTCTCGAGGAGTATCTTTGTGGCGTTCTCTGTATTTCCTGAATCTGAACGTTGGCCTGCCTTGCTAGATTGGGGAAGTTCTCCTGGATAATATTCTGCAGAGTATTTTCCAACTTGGTTCCATTCTCCCCGTCCCTTTCAGGTACACCAATCAGACATAGGTTTGGTCTTTTCACATAGTCCCATATTTCTTGGAGGCTTTACTCGTTTCTTTTTATTCTTTTTCTCTAAACTTCCCTTCTCACTTCATTTCATTCATTTCATCTTCCATCGCTGATACCCTTTCTTCCAGTTGATCGCATTGGCTCCTGAGGCTTCTGTATTCTTCATGTAGTTCTCGAGCCTTGGTTTTCAGCTCCATCAGCTCCTTTAAGCACTTCTCTGTATTGGTTATTCTAGTTATATGTTCTTCTAAACTTTTTTTCAAAGTTTTCAACTTCTTTGCGTTTGGTTTGAATGTCCTCCCGTAGCTCGGAGTAGTTTGATCATCTGAAGCCTTCTTCTCTCAGCTTGTCAAAGTCATTCTCCATCTAGCTTTGTTCCATTGCTGGTGAGGAACTGTGTTCCTTTGGAGGAGGAGAGGCACTCTGCTTTTTAGAGTTTCCAGTTTTTCTGCTCTGTTTTTTCCCCATCTTTGTGGTTTTATCTACTTTTAGTCTTTGATGATGGTGATGTACAGATGGGTGTTTGGTGTGGATGTCCTTTCTGTTTGTTAGTTTTCCTTCTAATAGACAGGACCCTCAGCTGCAGGTCTGTTGGAGTACCCAGCCATGTGAGCTGTCAGTCTGCCCCTGCTGGGGGGTGCCTCCCAGTTAAGCTGCTCAGGGGTCAGGGGTCAGGGACCCACTTGAGGAGGCAGTCTGCCCGTTCTCAGATCTCCAGCTGTGTGCTGGGAGAACCACTGCTCTCTTCAAAGCTGTCAGACAGGGACATTTAAGTCTGCAGAGGTTACTGCTGTCTTTTTGTTTGTCTGTGCCCTGCCCCCAGAGGTGGAGCCTACAGAGGCAGGCAGGCCTCCTTGAGCTGTGATGGGCTCCACCCAGTTCGAGCTTCTGGGCTGCTTTGTTTACCTAAGCAAGCCTGGGCAATGGCGGGCGCCCCTCCCCCAGCCTCGCTGCCACCTTGCAGTTTGATCTCAAACTGCTGTGCTAGCAATCAGCGAGACTCCATGGGCGTAGGACCCTCCAAGCCAGGTGTGGGATATAATCTCCTGGTGCGCGGTTTTTTAAGCCCGTCGGAGAAGCGCAGTATTCGGGTGGGAGTGACCCGATCTTCCAGGTGCTGTCTGTCACCCCTTTCTTTGACTAGGAAAGGGGACTCCCTGACCCCTTGTGCTTCCCGAGTGAGGCAATGCCTCGCCCTGCTTCGGCTCGTGCACAGTGCGTGCACCCACTGACCTGTGCCCACTGTCTGGCACTCCCTAGTGAGATGAACCCGGTACCTCAGATGGAAATGCAGAAATCACCCGTCTTCTGCGTCGCTCACGCTGGGAGCTGTAGAGGGGAGCTGTTCCTAGTTGGCCATCTTAGCTCCTCGATCAATAAGTAGTCTTATATTACTCCTAAATATTAAAGGAAACTGCTTTAACATTGATAACCTCCTTTCTGGTTATATGCTATTTTTTCTGTTTATTTTCTACTGATACCTAATAGTTGTTCAAATTTATGAGGTACATGTGCTATTTGGATAAATGCACACAATGTGTAATCATCAAATTAATGTAATTGGGATATCCATTAACTTAAAAGTTTATCACTTTTTTCTGTTGTGATCATTCCAAATCTTCTCTTCTCGGTATTTTGAAATACATGAGAAAATATTGTTAATGACAGTCCCCCTGCTGTGCTATCAAACACTAGAATTTATTATTTCCAACTATATTTTTGTATCCAGTAACTACCTTCTTTTCATCTGCCCCCCACCCCAAGTGTCTTCCCAGCTTCTGGTAACCACTATTCTACTTACAGTCCTCATGAAATCAACACAGTAAAGAAACAACCCACAGAATGAGAGAAAATATTTGCAAACTGTTGATTTGAAAGGAATTAATAACCAGAATACAGAAGAAATCCAAACAAGTCAATAGCAAAAAGACATAAATAATCCAATTTTAAAATGAACAGGTGATCTGAATAGACATTTCACAAAAGATGACATACAAATGGCAACAAACGGCCAACAGGTGTATGAAAAAAATGCTCAACATCAGTAATCATCAGGAAAATGCAAACTGAAAACATAAGATATCATCTCGCTCATGTGTTATTTGCCAATACATTTGATATTTTTTAAAAGATAAAGTATTTATTGCATCTTCTTTCGGTTTCCACTTGCTTCTTTTAGAAATACTTTCTCTATTAGAATTGTAATGAATAACTGTGAATAACATCGATTAATGTTTGATAATACAAAATTATTTGCACTTATCTCACTCAACATATAAGATAAAATTGCTTCTGGTGGTTAAACTATTTGGAGGTTTAATAGTTAATAATGTCTCGGTATACTTAGGGTGTTTCTTTTCTAGATGGAAAACTCTGTGGCTGATGGAGCCTTTGCTCAAGTTTTGCTCAGGCCTGCTGGTCTCATTCCTTTGACTTAGCCTGGGAGGCTGCTCTCCTCTCATGCTACCAGCCCAGATCCCACACCTGCCAAGGGTGAGCCAGAGAGGGGTGCATAAGTAAGTAAGCATGGGGATTGGTTACTGAGCACAGCCAGGCATACCGGCTGCTGTGGTAGGGTGGGCAGCTCCGGGTGCTGGCACAGGTGCTGGCTCCATGCAAGCCTGCACCTAGATTGGATGCACTGCAAGTGGCTTCCACTGTGGGCACCCACATCTGGACAAGGGGAACATGATGGTGGCCTAGAATCTTGGACAGGCCAGATACCACAGAGTCCTAAAGAGGGTGTCACAACCCTGGCTCAGGGAGTCCCTAGGTATGGGCTTCCCAAATGGCTGCAGCTGTTATATCCTTTTCATGACCCATAATGTGGCAAGTGGGGACCCGGACATTTCAGCTGTTTGTGTTATGTCTCTTTCAGTCCCATCATTTGGCAGGTCCCGAGTTCTTGTCCTGCATCCAGGAAGAATGAGGTACATCAACAACTGGAGGGTGGGCAAGGTGGAGAGGAGCTTCATTGAGTGAAAGAACAGTTGTTGGGAGACCCGAAGTGGGTAGCTCCTTTCCATAGGTAGGTTATTTCAGTGAGTGTCCAACTCTGAGCAGAGAGGAGATCCAGAATGGATAGCTGCTTTTCACAGGCAGGTAGTCCTGAGAAGTGCAGCCCTCAGCAAAGAGAAGACCCAGAATGTGTAGCTCCTATCTGTAGGCAGGTTGTCCCAGTGAGTGTCCAGCCCTCAGCAGAGAAGAAACCAGAGTAGCTCCTTTCTGCAGGCAGGTAGGTAGTGCTGATGAGTGCAGCCCTCAGAAGAAAGGAGACCTGGAGTGGATAGCTCCTATCCACAAGAAGTATCCAGAAAGTATCCAGCTGTCAGTGGATAGGAGAACTGGACTGAGTAGCTTCTTTCTTTAGGCAGGTCATCCCAATGAGTGTTCAGCTCTCAGTGGAGAGGAGACCCAGAGAGGGTAGCTCCTTTCTGCAGTCAGGTTGTCCTGATGAGTGGAGGACACCTAAATTGGGTAGCTGCTTCCCAGAGCTGGTAGTCCTGAGTCTCTGAGTCTGGCTGAATCTGAGGTTTTTATGGGCTCAGAAGGGAGGAAAGGTGTGCTGATTGTTCCATGGGCAGCCATGGGTGGGCCCAGAAAAACCACCATAAATTCTCACTCTGGGCTATAGACTCCACCTGGAATTGATAGCCGGGCTCCCAGGCTTCAGGCCATCCCTGGCTTAAAGGTGGGACTATGTTGGGGACCCACCCCTTTCCACTCAAGAGCCTGTCTGCCTCCTGCCACCATCAATCACGTCATGCACAGCACCCAGGATGTTCCTGCCCAGGGGCACCTGCAGGCATTCACCAATCTGCTCTTAGCCCCCCCCCACTTCCTACCACATTTATTGGTGCCCAAAGCAAAGTTCAGAGGAGGCCAAGGTGGCAGAGGGCTGGTGTGTCCGTGCCAGCCTGATTGCATGCACATGTGGCCAGTTTGTGACAGTGCCCAGGCTTGACCACAACTTTGCTCCAACCCAGACTGGGCACTGGGTATGGGGAGAGGCCAGGCAGCTGGAGCAGGTGCTTCTGAGCCTGAGGCTGCTTGGGGACTTCCTGGGCCCCCAAGAGTGCAAGGATGACTGGGTCTGCAGCTACAGCTGCGTGACTGCAGCTCTACCTGGGAGTACCAGGCTCCTTCCCCACCAACTCAGAAGGAGGCGGGTCTCCTGCCTGTTCCCAGCTCCCTCCAGCTCCATGGAGTACACAGGCCAAGCTGCACCTCCCTTTCTGCAGCCTGTGCCTTCACAGTGTGGCCACTTCAGATGGGCCACTGCTGCCATCAATAATTGTAAACTTATATTATCATGTCTTGCTTTCATTCTGAGGTTCCCCATTGGATTAGATGGTAGAACAGCACCATGAAGAAGGGTATTCTTTTTTCAATCTTCTTTGTTAAGATCTCTCTCTATATATATATTCAAGATCACTTTGAATTAAAATTTCTAAGCTATGAAGTATTCCACATTTTATATGAAATGCAATTTTTGATTACTTTTGCTCCTGAGAGAAAACTTTTCCATGCAGATCCCAGAGATTAATAAATACTTTAAATTTTCTATTTAAAATGATACAGAACATTTTGCTTAACATTTCATACTGAGGCTCTCTCAAGTTTTCAATTATAAGTAGAATCTCAGTTCTAAATTTCTGCCTCACAAGAACCTCAATATTTAATCTACTGCCCTCACATACTTGTTAATATTTCTTAAGTTATATATTCCTGGATGGTAACCATCATCATAGAAACCTGCAACTCAAGCCTGTTTCTTATCATATTTATATATATACAATGACATGTACATGGATATGTACAGTTTTATATATACTGATATATATAAATGTATATATGCCATATATACATAAATACATCTTACATATAATTGGATAATATTACATACAAATATATATTACATATATAATATTACCCATATATATGTAGTATATATTTATATTATACACCCATGCACATATGGGTATATAGGTAAATATAGCATATGTATTGATAAATGTAGTATATATTTTTATACACAAACACATATCTAAATGTATACTTTTATATCATATATATTTTTATTCATACACTCACAAGTATATTCAATCCACCAACAGAAACCCCTTTATTTATCCTCTTTTTCTTCAATTTCAAAGCATTTGATCCTACACAAACATTGTAAAGTGAAAGGACTAGAAATGGCACTAGATCCCTAGATTTATATTGTCCATTTTATCACTGTGTAATGAAATTCTTCTTACAGTATTTTTGACAGATGGTTATCCATTGCTTGTGTTAGGAAACTCACTGTACATATTAACTGTTCATTTCATTCCCCAATTTCTCTAGTTGCTGAAATAGCATATAAAATTCATTGATTTTTATCTCTATTTTCTTTTTTTTTTAGCAATCATTATTTTCAAGAAAATGCTATAGTGAGTGACATGGAACTCACTAATAGATACAGCTAAAAATTCACTTCTGCTGATAACAAATTCAACAAACAAATTTGGATAGAACAACTTTAGTAGGTCATTGTACTTTTACCCAAGTGGAAAATAATGTCTTTATTTCTAAATTAGTAGCTAAATACATTTATTTCTCCTTCCAATCTACCATGTAGAAAAGAAGTAATATATCCTAGCATATCATAATATATTGATTCAGAATGTAAACTTTGGAGTCAGACCTCCTTGGGTGGATTCTGACTCTACACTTACTAGCTTTACCTGTAGATCTTGAGAAAATGACTTACACATTTTATTTACCTGCAAAATGGGATAAAATGGTATTTTCTTAATGGAAATCAAATAAAGTAGTTCAAACAAAAGATTTAGGCCAATGCCCAGCTGTTGTTGTATTGATGACAAGGAAATTTATATTTAAAAATATTAAGGAGAAAGAAACTAGTCTACCATTTTTGTAATAACATCTTACAGAAGAACATTTGATTGGCAGGGAGTGGATTGCTTAGGACAAAGCTTATGACAATGGTATATGTTTTGGATTTGTTGCAACAGCCATATTTAGCTACTAAACTCTATGCTAGGTATAATACAAGCTCAGGATGCTGTAACAGAGTTCCAAAAACAACACTGGCTTAAACAAGATGGAAGTATTCTATAACTGTAAAATAATTGTATCATAGGCAGTTCAGGGCTATAACTGTGGTAGCGTTGAGTTAGGGACACAAGTGTTTTCTGTTTTGTTACTCTGTCATTCTTCACATGTGGCTTTGATATGTTTGCATAAGGCAAGTGTATAATATCTTTGCATAAGGCATCATATTTATATTTCAGGTAGCATAAAAGGGAGAAAATGAATGAAGGCCATGATTTCTTTCTTTAAGCCTGAATCAGTAATTTGTACATATCACCCACTCTGTTAGCTAGAACATAGTTATATACACACATCTAACTGCAAAGGAAGCCGAGGCATATGGTATTTATCTTTGCAACTAAGAGAACAATTAAACTGACAGAAGCTCTATTATTTAATGAAATGGGAGAAAGTAAGTGTTGGAGGGTAACTTAGAATAACTTTCATTATTCACCACCTCTGCCATCCAAATATAGTTTTTTAAAATAATCTCAACTATATTTCAGATTAGAGAGTACACGTGCGGCCTGTTACATGGGTACATTGCATGACACGGAGGCTTGGGATATAAATGCTTGTGTCACCCAGGTAGTAAGCACACTAACAAATAGTTTTTCTACTCTTGTTCTCCCTTCCATTTACCCTCTCTAGTTGTCCTTATTGTTTATATTTCCCATCTTTATGTCCGTGTATACCCAATGTTTAGCTCCCACTTATATATATGTGAGAATATATGTATTTGGTTTTCTGTCTCTGCATTCAGTCACCTAGGATGATGGCCTCTATCTGCATCCATGTTGCTGCAAAGGACATGACTTTATTCTTTTTTATGACTGCATGCTACCCCACAGTGTATATGTACAACATTTTCTTAATCCAACCTACCATTAATAGGCAGCAAAGTTGATTTCATGTTTTTAATATTCTGAATAGTGCTGTGATGAACATATGAGTGCCTGTCTCTTTTTTGTAGAATAATGTGTTTTCTTTTCCACATATACCCAGTAATAGGCTTGCTGAGTTGAATAGTAGTTCTATGTTTTAGGTCTTTGATAAATCTCCGAACTGCTTCCCAAAGTGGCTAAACAAATTTACATTTCCCCAAGAGTGTATAAGAGTTCCCATTGCTCTGCAGCTTTGCCAGCATCTTGTCTTTTTTAGTAAAAGCCATTCTGACTGGTTTGAGAAGGTGTCTCATTGTGGTTTTAATTTACATTTCTCTGAGGATTAGCGATTTGACCATTTTCTCTATTTTCATTGGCCACTTGTGTGTCTTAAGAAATATCTGTTCATATCATTTGCCCACTTTTAATGGAGTTATTTGGTTTTGTCCTGTTGAGTTGTTAAGTTCCTTATAGATTCTGAATATTAGACCTTTGTTGGAAGCATAGTTTGTAAATATTTTCTCCAATTCTGTGGGTTGTTTGTTTACTCTGTTGAAAGTTTCTTTTGCTGTGCAGAAGTTTGTTCATTTAATTAGTTCCCACTTGTCAATTTCAATTGCTTTTGAGCACTTAGTCGTAAGTTAGCCAAGGTCAGTGTCCAGAATGGTTTTTCCTAGGTTTTCTTCTAGAATTTTCATCATTTGATGTCTTACATTTAAACCTTTAATCTATCTTGAGTTAATTTTTGTATATGGTAAAAAGTAGGGATCCAGTGTCATTCTTCTATTAATGGCTAGCCAAAGTATCCCAGAACCATTTACTAAATAGGGTATCTTTTTCCCATTGCTTTTTTTTTCTTTCTCCTTTCCCACTGGCCTACAACAACTTCAGTCCCAATACCAGAAGCAGAGACAACTGTCTGGCATAGACTTCTCCATCAGTTCCCACAATTGCTTAAGGCTTAATCCACATTTTAAAAGAAATCTGTTGCTCTGCTTCCTGAATGACGATTACACTTTTCTGATTGAGCCCTGCCTTATGCAATGTATAGAGCAAGGCTACCATGATAGATCTGGAAAGATAATGTGAGTAAATGACAGCTAATCATGTCGAACTCTAATTTTAGTCATTAGTTTGTTGCCTACTTTCTCAATGGAGGCTTTCTGGAAGATTGCTGCCAACAGGTTGATAAATTGACTACTTTTATTACACTATCCTTTTATTTCCTCTTCTCCCTTTCTGCACCATAGGTATTCCAAATGATTCCCACCGCCCTGAGATCAAGGCCAACCATGCAAACCCATATACCTCAAAATGTCCTTGTGTTTTTACCATTGCTTATTTTTGTTGATGTTGTTGAAGATACGATGGTTGTAGGTTTACTGCCTTATTTCTGGGCTCTCTATTCTGTTTCTTTGGTCTACATGTCTGTTTTTATACCAGACCGTGTTGTCTTGGTTATCATGGACTTTTAGTATAGTTTGAGGTAGGGTAATATGATGCCTCCACGTTTGTTCTTTTTGTTTAGGATTGCTTTGGCTCTTCAGAATCTCTTTTGGTTCCATATAATTTTTTTTTTTTTTTGAGGCAGAGCCTCTGTCACCCACGATGGACTGGCACAATCTCAGCTCACTGCAACCTCCGCCTCCCAGGTTCCAGAGATTCTTATGCCTCAGCCTCCCAAGTAGGTGGGATTATAGGCACACGCCACCACATCAGGCTAATTTTTATATTTGTAGTAGAAACGGGGTTTTGCCATGGTTGCCAGGCTAGTCTGAAACTCCTGGCCTCAAGTGATCCACCCACCTCAGCCTCCCAAAGTGCTGGGATTACAGGCTTGAGCCACTGTGCCCAGCCCATATGAATTTTAAAATAATTTTTTCCTAGCTCTGGGAAGAATGCCATTTATAGTTTTAATATGAATAGCATAGAATCTAAATTGCTTTTGGTGGTATGGCTGTTTCAACGATATTGACTTTTCCTATCCATGAGCATGTATTGTTTTTCCATTTGTTTGTGTCATCTCTGATATTTTTGAGCAGTGTCCTGTAATTCTCATTGTTGAGATCTTTCACCTCACTGGTTAGCTATATTCCTAGGATTTTTACTGGCAGATGTGAATAGGCCTGTATTCTTGATTTGGCTCTCAGCTTAAATGTTATTGGGGTATAAAAATGCTACTGATTTTTGTACATTGATTTAGTATCCTGAAACTTTATTGAAGTCTTTTGCCAGGTCTGGGAGCATTTTGGTGGAATTTTTAGGGTTTTCTAGGTATAGGATTATATCATCAGTAAAGAGGGATAATTTGACATTTTATTTTTCTATTTGGATGCCTTTTATTTTCTTCCTTTGCCTTACCGTCTGGATAGGACTTCCAGTACTATGATGAGTAGGAGTGGTGAGAGTGGGCATTGTTGTTTTGCGACTGTTCTTAACGGGAATACTTCCAGTTTTTGCCCATTCCGCATGATGTTGGCTGTATGTTTGTAATAGCTGGCTCTTGAGGTATGTTTTTCCAATGTGTAGTTGCTCGAGATTTTTTATCTTGAAGGGATTTTGGATTTTATCAAAAGCTTTATTTGTGTCTATGGAGGTAATCATATGTTTTTTGCTTTTAATTCTTTTATGTGGTGAGTCACATTTACTGATTTGCATATGTTTAACCAACCTTTCATCCCAGAAATAAAGCCCACTTGATTGTGATGAATTAATTTTTGATGTGCTGCTGGATTCAGTTTGCTAGTATTTTCTTGAGGATTTTTGCATCTATGTTCATTAGGAATACTGGCCTATAGTTTTATTTTTTCATTGTGTCTTTGTCAGGTTTTGGTATCAGGGTGATGCTGGCTTAGCAAAATGAGCTAAGAAGTCCCTCTTCCTCAATTTTTTGGAATAGTTTCAGTATTAGTAGTACCAGCTCTTCTCTGTACATCTGGTCAAATTTGGCTATGAATGCATCTGGTCCAGGGCTTTTTTGGTGGGTAGGTTTTTTATGACTGATTCAATTTATTACTCAGTATTCATCTCTTTAGGGTTTTGATTTCTTCGTAATTCAACTTTTGGAGGTTGTATGTTTTTAGGAATTTATTTCCTCCAAGTTTTTTAGTTTGTGTGCATAGAGGTGTTCTTATGGTCTCTGAGGATATTTTGTATTTCTGTGGGATCAGTTGTAATATCAACTTTGTTATTTCTGATTGTGCTTATTTTGATTTTCTCCCTTTTTCTCTTTGTTAATCTAGCTGTCTGTCAGTCTCCTTTATCCCTTCTAATAACTAATTTTTAGTTTCATTGGTCTTTCGTATGGAATTTTGGATCTCAATTTCATTGAGTTCTGCTCTGATTTTAGTTATTTCTTTTATTTTGCTAGCTTTGGGGTTTTTACCCTTTTTTCTGGTTCCTGTAGGTGTAATGTTAGAATATTAATTTGAGAGCTTTCTTCTTGATGTGGGCATTCAGAGCAATCTTATCACTGCTTTTGCTTCATCCGAGATATTTTGGTATGTAGTGATGTTGTGCCTCTGTTTTCATTTATTTGAAGTATTTGTTAGATTTCTGCCTTAATTTTGTATATCACCCGAAAGTCACGTAGGAGCAAGTTTAATTTCCATGTAATTTTTATACAATTGTGTGGTTTTGAGAGACCTTCTTGGTATTCACTTCTATTTTTATTCCACTATGGCCTGAGTGTATGGTTGGTAAAATTTTGATTAAAAAAATTATTCAGACTTGCTTTATGGCCAAGCATATGGTTGATGTTAGTGTATATTTCGTGTAGAGATGAGAAGAATGTATATTCTATGGTTGATGGGTGGAGTAGTCTGTAGAAATCTGTTAGGTCCAGTTGGTCAAGTGTCAAATTTAAGTACACATTTTTTTTGCTAGTTTTCTGCTTTAATGATAAGTCTAATGCTGTCAGCGGGTGTTGAAGATCCCCCCACCATTATTATATTGCTGTTTAATTTTTTGTAGGTCTAGAAGTACTTGTTTTATGAATATTGCTGCTTCACTATTGGCTGTGCCAAATATAATTTTTCTCACTATCTCACCCTTCTTCTCTCACTCACTCTTAAAATGAGATAATGACAATGGTATGCCCTAATGATTCACTTTATTTTACTCAAAGTCAGGACCTTTGGTTTATGGGAAATGGTCTACGTAAAAAAATAATGATCTGTTCTTAATACAAAATGTAACATGGTGAATTAGCAAACAATTACCATAGTTAAAATCTTCTTTTTAAAATGGGACTACATGAAATATAAATCAAGTACTAGTTCATGATAATGAACAAATTGCAGTAATTATAAAAATTTCCTTTCCTAAACATTGAAAAAAGGTATGCCCAAGTGACAACGCCGATTCTCCTCTCTTGCTCATTGTTCTCTGTGGCCCTGGCCTTGATCTCTGGAGAGCGTTTCTTGCCCATTACCTTCTCTGAAGACAATCAATTTGAACATTGGAGTTGTGCAATGCTGTATCCCATTATTTTCTATAGGTGTATTTGGGGTTCAAAGATCTTTTAAGGGTCAAACACTGGAGATAAACTACCTTTAAACAGTAGAAGACTATCAGTTTGTTAAAATAAAATTCCAAATACTAATAAGTACACTCAAGGGTCTCACTTTGACACTTTGTTTATTTTTACCTAGTTTTTTTTTTTTTTCAATAACAATGGACCTCTGGTTTTTGTTCTCTGTGTTCCTTGCATCATCATTTCTCTTCACTGAGGGAAGGAGCTTATTGAAATAGTACTTTAATCTCATTTTACCATTTGGCTGGCTCCTACTGTACATCTAAGATTACAGAAGAAGCTTCTTAAAAAAGGGGCGAATATAGAACAGAGGTATTTTGTAGCAATATATCAAAAGTTGTCTGCATCACTTTTCATCAGTAAATGTTGGCTGAAACAATCACATGGCCACATGTGGAGGTAAAGATGACTAGGAAATATATTTTGTATATGGGGAGCCAAGATGGTACCAAGGTTTCTGTTCCTAAAAAAGGAAAGAATTGATATTGGGGAATAATTTGTCATCTTGGACACAGAAGGGAGAGCATGTGTCTCAAAGCACAGTGCTTTGTTTATTAGTTACACATAAATCAATTAAATTATTCAAAATACAAATAATCTTTACTATGCTATTCACAAGATCTATATCTAAATTATGAGGGTAAAATATTAAGTAACAAACCATTTATATTAAAATTTTGATTCAGATATATTAATATTAGCGATCAGTATTTAAGACAAAAAACAAAACAAAGCAAAACCAAAAAAACAGTATCTGGGAACCAATGGTGGATAACCAGGCAGATCATGCACCAGACCTTATGGAACAATAGTTATCAAGGAAAAATCCTAGAAGAGCAGCAGTGGCAAGTACATGGATTCCCTGTTGCCCACTCAGGATTAATATAGAGCAATCTAGTGGTCTGTAAGTTAGATCCCAGAAAATAACATTTGACCATTGAGTGGCAGGGCTTTTAAGATATAGAATTAGAGAACCACAAACACCTCCTTATATTGTTTGGCTCTGTCCTCAACCAAATGTCCTCTAGAATTGCTGGTCGGATAATTCCCACATGTCATGGGAGGGACCCAGTGGGAGGTAATTGAATCATGGGGGCAGGTTTTTCCCATGCTATTCTCGTGATAGTGAATAAGTCTCACAAGATCTGATGATTTTATAAAGGGTAGTATCCCTACACACACTCTCTTGCCTGCTGCCAGGTAAGACATGCCTTTGCTCCTCCTCTGTCTTCCGCCATGATTGTGAGGCCTCCCTAGCCATGTGAATCTGTGAGTTCATTATACCTCTTTTTTAAAAATAAATGACCCAGTCTCGAGTATGTCCTTTTTAGCAGCATGAGACCAGACTAATACACATCCCTTGTTGAGATTAGGGCTGAAATAAATTAGCAATACAACATGTTGTAAATTTAGGTGCAGTTTTGTCTAGCCAGCTCATATTTGTTGTTGAGTAGCATCATTTTCTCCTAGGACTCAATCAGTAGGCTGAGTCCAAGCTGCCCAGCTGCAACTGCATGCCGTGAGAAGTTAGTAAAAGAGTGTATTAACTTTTAATGAGAAGTTCCCAACCCTACTTTAGAATGATAAAAGATTCTGATTTTACTTTTGTTGTTGATCTACATTGATTTTCATAATTGCTAGACAAATGTATGGAGATTTATAAAAGTCCCACTATTTTCTGGAAAGTCAAAAATATACATGGGCAAAGTAGAAATAATCTTGAACATTGCTAAAAATTTTATCTGAGTCTATGGTAAATAATATACTATTTATTTATTTATTGAGATGAAGTCTTGCTCTGTTGCCCAGGCTGGAGTGCAATGGTACAATCTCGGCTCACTGCAAGCTCCTCCTCCCATGTCCAAGCAATTCTCCTGCCTCAGCCTCCCGAGTGGCTGGGATTACAGGCACCTGCCACCATGCCCAGCTAATTTTTATATTTTAGATACAGGGTTTCACCATCTTGGTCAAGCTGGTCTTGAACTCCTCACATTAGGAGATCCAACTGCCTCGGCCTCCCAAAGTGCTGGGATTACAGGCGTGAGCCACTGCACCTGGCCCAATAATATATATCTTAAATTGTGGTTTATTAGAAAAATTATCAGAGAGACTAGCCTCAAATACATACATTAGAAAAAAGGCAAAGATTAATGACCTTTACATGTATCAAATGAAAATGCATGAAAGTTATCATAATAAACCTGAAGACAAGAGAAGGAAAGAGCACAAGTATGAATGAAAATTAGTATATGAGAGAAAAATCAAACAATAAAGGAGATCAACATGGTCCAAAAACTTTTGTAAATACTAATGAAATAGATAAACCTCTGAAGAGACTGACAAAAAAGAAAAACAGAGAAAGCCCGGATAACTAATTCAAGGACTGAAAACAGAAAATCACTACAGATTCATAAATATTAAAAAGATAATATGGAGATAAAATGAATATGACAATTTATGTTTGCATAAAATGTTTCTTGTCAAACTTACCAAATTATATCATATTAATAAAAATGCATCTCACATATAAATTACAGAAATAAGTGGTTTTTCAAATGAATTCAGCCAAACATTCAAGGGAAAATACTAGCAATGTAGTACAAATACTTAAATAAAATAATGAGAAGACTTCCTAGCAGCTAAAAATATTTTGATACCAACAATATGGTAAGCCTGAGAAAATAAAATTATAGGCCATTTTTAGTCATCAACAAAGGTGTAAAAATTCAAACCAATACTTACCAAATCAATCCCAGAACTATATAAAGAAGAAGATACATTATTACCTAGTAGGGTATGTCCCAGGGTTCACGATTTGGTCAAATTAAAAAAAAAATCAGTTGATATAAAGCAACACATATATGAATCAGAGGTGGAAAAAGTACATATTTATTCAGATAGATACAAAAATAAGAAGTCACAACACTTTCTTGATTAAAATGTCTCCAAGTTAAGTATTAATGTGGAGAAATGTGTTTAGCTAATAAAAATTTCTACAAAGACAAGTATTTTTATTAGTGGATTGAAAGCTTACCTTTTGACAAGAACAAGACACCAATGCCTGCTAATACAACTGCTATGTATCATAGTAGTTCTAACTAAACAGGATAAGAGGAAGAGTAATAAACAATGTCAGGATCAACAGTATGAAAGAAAGCCTTTATTACTGGGCAATTTCACATATATATAATACATATACTATATACTATATTTCAAAATAAGCTACATATAAATTATAATAATAAGGGAGTTTGGCAAAGTTTCTAATTATTATTTTATTACTAATATGATTCTTTTTATCTCTACATTCCAGGAACGAACAAGAAATAGCATAAAACTCCAAGATAAATAGTAATAAATCTAAAAAATAATGTAAGAAACTCTATAAAAAATTGTAAAAGTTTATTGAGAGACATTAAAAACTAAATAAATGGTGTTATATTTCATATTTATAGTTATATTTACAGGTTGTAAAATTGAATATAATACAAAGATCCAATATTTTGAATTTATCTTTCAGTGTAATTTAAATCAAAGTACCACAAAGGGGGTGTGTGGGGGGGTGGGGGTGCGGTGAGAGAGAGAGAGAGAGAGAGAAGATCCGATAAGAAGTACAAGTGAAGAATTACCAACACTCTGAAGATGACAAGAGAAAATAAAGTGAAGCTTGCTTTGCATAAATCAAGATACAGATCAATTGACAGAATATAAAACAGGAAGTCTTACGAACATAGAGGTTATCTTAATGTATAAGGGAGACCTTGTCTCAGATCAGAGCATTAAAGGTTTTATTTTCTGTCTGTTTTTTTAAATAAGAGTGCTGGGAAAATCAAACAGCTATGTAGAATAACATAAATAACTACTAACTCCCATTATGCAAAAAATATAGATAGGTTAAGAAATGTGAAAAAAGATTATTCAATCTTAGTATAAATATCAATATTTTAATTTCAATGTAGGAAATAATATATTAAACACAATATTAAAAGCATAAACACTAAAAGAGATTCACAAATTTGACATTTAGAAAAACTTCTGTTCATCAGTTGACACCATAATGAGAATAAAATGTAAGCCAGAAAATATGGTAAGTTCTTAAAAATAAATAGGAAAAAATAAAAATAGCACTCCACCATTAGCAAAATAATTTAGTAGGGATATCACATCACAAAGAAGAAATCCAAATTCCCACAAAAGATCTGGAAAGTGTGTTTGTCCTAAGAGAAATGTACATTAAAACCACAGTATGATAGATTTACACTCCTTATATATTGGCCAAAAATATTTAATTCTGAAAATCCTAAGCATAGGTGTGGAGTAGGGGACAAACATGCACTTTGCCAGTGAATGTAATTGTCCAAGAACTTTGGAAAAATATTTAACATTGTCCAGTAAAGTTAAAGTTACATAAACTTTAGGCCGGGTGCTGTGGCTCAGGCCTATAATCCTAGCACTTTGGGTGGCCAAGGCTGTGGATCACCTGAGGCCAGGAGTTCAAGAACAGCCTGGCTAACATGACAAAACCTCATTTCTACTAAAAATACAAAAATTAGCCAGGCGTGGTGGCGGGCACCTATGATCCCAGCTACTTGGGAGGCTGAGGCAGGAGAATCACTTGAACCCTGGGGACAGATGTTGTAGTGAGCTGAGATCATGCCACCGCACTCTAAACTGGGCAACAAGAGGGAAACTGCATCCCCCCGCTAAAAAAAAGATACATAAACTGGCTGGGCGCAGTGGCTCACGCCTGTAATCCCAGCACTTTGGGAGGTCGAGGCAGGTGGATCATCTGAGGTCAGGAGTTTGAAACCAGCCTGACCAACATCAACGTAGAGAAACCCCGTCTCTACTGAAAGTACAAAATGAGCCAGGTGTGGTGGCCCACGCCTGTAATCCCAGCTACTAGGGAGGCTGAGACAGGAGAATCGCTTGAACCCAGGAGGCGGAGGTTGCGGTGAGCCGAGATCGCGCCATTGCACTTCAGCCTGGGTAACAAGAGTGAAACTCCGTCTCAAAACAAAAACAAACACAAACAAACAAAAATTAACTCTAAAGATCAGTGATTTACTCTTAAGTTCACACACTTGAGAAATTCTTGCATATGTGTGTCAGGATTTAAGTACAAGCTTGTTCATAGACATACTGTTTTAATTGCCAAAATGGGACTTAAACTGTCAACAAATGATAACATTGATAAATAGATTATGGTAGAATATACAGAAATTAGTGAATTAAAATAAATAAAATAGAGCTCTAGGCAACATGTATGAAACTCAAATAATATTTAATGAAAATATATGAAATATGATTACATTTATATGAGGGCTGAAAACCAAGAGTATGCACACATAGTTTATGAATGTACATTTAAAATTAAAAATATGGTTACTATTGAAATCAGCAGAATATTTCCTCTGGGAAATGTAGGGCTTTACATTTGGAAAATGTCATTTGTGGGACTTCTGTAGTAATGGTAATACTTTACTCTTTGAAATGAGTGGTGGATACATTGCTGCTTGCTTTTAATTATTCTGGAAACTCTACATATATTTTATGCACATACATCAACATTTGTGAACAAATATAAGTTTTATAAGTCTTAATTACAGATATTACAAGCCTCATGGGCACACAATACTCATTATTTTTGAGACAGATTATGATATGGTCTTTCATTATTTTGAGTAATAACTCTGGATGAGATCCATAGTGAAAACAAATCCATAATGACTCCTCTTTATGCTCCTTGTCTCATTAAAAAATTTAAACAAAAGCAAAAGCAAAAAAATTATAGCATGGATTCTTGAGAAATAAAATGGTTTATAAAAAGAACTGTTTGTATGAGAAGATGAGTTTATTTTGTAATTGTTGAAATTGATATTTGCATTTTCTCTGAAAATAAAGTTTTCCTATTTTATTGCTAAGTAAATGACCACTCCTAGGTCAAAATGCTGATACCCAAGATTTAAAACTGGTTGTAGAATTTGTATTTTTTTTTGTGTGTGAGAAGTGTCAAAAGGGTCTTTTGATAGTACTAAATTTTTATGTAGTTGACTTTTAAATACAGTTATTAAAATTTTGCCAGTTTGGCATATTCTATGTCATAACTCCATTTACTTCTTATGCTAAAGATGATCATTCACTAGCACTAGGTAGCCTCACCAAATGACTTAACTATACGGTATAATGTAGAGGATTATTGTCTACAGTAGGAAGCTACTAATGTTACAATAGTTCGGTGTTTTAAGTTTTTTTAGTACAGTACTCTAAACTACACAGCCATCTAATTTTCCCATTTTCCTTTTCTCATCAAAAAGCTTAATCAATTGTCTTTATTATATTCTTATAAATACCCTCAGGAAAGGTGAGCAATCATGAAATAGAAAAAGGAGCCAGAGAAGGAGGAAAGAGGAAAGGAAGAGAAATATAATAAAGAGGAGGGGAAAATCAAAAATGGAAGAAGGGAAAGATGAAGGAAGACAGAGAAGGGGGGTCAGAGGGAATGGGGAAAGGAAAGAAGAAGAAAAGAAAGTAAGCAAAGGAGGAGGTGCAAATGGAGGTAAAGGAAGGATGGAGGAAAAGAAGGCAGTTGGGCAGGAAGGAAGAAAAGAAGGAAAGAAGGAAAAGGAAATTGCACGAGTGTTGCTTGTTAATGCTTTATATTAAAATGAAGAAAATATTACCTATAAGCTACTCAAAAATGAAAGTTGATTTGAAAAAAATCAAAGGGGCATGGATAATATATATCTGAAAAGCATATTTATAATAAATAGAAACACTCAATATACATTAGAATGACTTAAGTAGCACACATAGATGAGAGAAATATATAAAGATTCACAGCAGAAAATAATGATAAGTAGAAGCGGAAAAAAGCATTGGGAATTTTATTTGCTGGATTGTTGGTTTCATGATACAAAACACTGGGAATAATGTTGTGGGACTGACGATGGGGATTCATCTTTAAAGCTCTTGTTGTAATTTTGTGTACATAAAAATGAATTTGATTATGGAACAAAGAATTTCATGACTAAATTAAGAGATAAGGCTCTTTTCTGTCAGAATATACTTGCATCATTACTTTAATCTTTTTTTATATTTTTGACAAAAACAAAGATAATATACCAATGGTAGAAGTTTACATCTATAAACAGTGTAACAATTGATAAGTTATTTACTTGGCTGTTGAAAATAATCTTTCAGAAGACAAATAAACAGCTGACAAATAAAACTGCTAATCTAGACAACAATGTGGCAAATAGAAAATCCTTGGAAGTAATCTAAGCGCCAAGAAACATGAAAAAAAGCATGTAAATTTGAAAGTCGTAATAAATAAGGAACACTGAACATAAATGGTCAGGGCCTTAGACTAGTAATCTAAAAATTGTCATTTCACACATTTTGTGTTGTCATTTTTATCATCAATTTAAATAACTGCTACTTAATGTGTCAACTTACAAAAATGAAGAGATTTAAAAGTGTAATAAGAGTACTTTAGGGAGTCATTTTATTTCTAATAATTTGATACTATATATTTAGTTGCTATTTATTTGATGACTATATGTATTTTATCTCATATATTTAGTTTTTGTCTGTTTAAAATTTTATTTCATTTTTTCAATTTCAATTTAGGTTCAGCAGTACCTGAGCAGGTATGTCAGATAGGTAAATTTTATGTCATGGGCTTGGGGTACAGATTATTTCATCACCAACAAAATAAACATAGTACCTAATAGGTAGTTTTTAATCCACATTCTCCTCCCACCTTCTACCCTCAAGCAGGCCCCAGTGTCTCTTGTTCCTTTGCTTGAGTCCAAGTGTACTCAATGTTTACCTCCCATTTTATGCCTGAAAACATGTGATATTTGTTTTTCTTTTCCTGCATTAGCTAGCTTAGGATGATAGACTCCAGATCCATCCATGTTGCTGCAGACAATATGATCTTTTTCTTTTTATAGCTTCAAAGAATTCTGTGGTGTATATATCCCATATCTTCTTCATCCAATCTGCGTTGATTGGCATTTAGATCAATTATACGTATTTGCTATTGTGAATAGTGCTCTGATGAATGTACATGTGCATGTGTCATTATGGTAGAATGATACATATATCTTTGGGTATATACCCAATAATGGGATTGCTGGATTGAATGTTAATTATTTATTTTCAGTTGAGAAATCACCAAACTGTTTTTCAAAATGGGTAAACTAATTTACATTGCCACCAGCAGTATATAAGTGCTTCCCTTTCTCCACAATCTTTCCAACATCTGTTATTTTTGACTTTTTGATAATAGCCATTACAACTGCTGTAAGATGGAATCTCATTGTGATTTTGATTTGCATTGGTCTGATGATGAGTAATTTGAGCATTTTTTCATATGCTTGTTGGACATGTATGTATCTTATTTTGAAAAGCATTTGTTCATGTCCTTTGCCCATGTTTTAGTGGGGTTACTTGTTTTTTCTTGTTAACTTCTTTAAGTTCCTTGTAGACTCTCGATATTAGACCTTTAACAGATATATAGTTTATAACTATTTTCTCCCATTCTGTAGGTTGTCTGTTTACTCTGTTAATAGTTTATTTTGCTGTGCAGAAGTTTTTTTTTTTTAATTTAATTCAATCTCATTTGTCAATTTTTCCGTTGCAATTGCTTTTGGCATCTTCATCATGAAATCTTTGCCAGGTTCTATGTCCAGAATGGCATTTCCTAGATTATCTTCCATGATTTTTATAGTTTTGCATTTTTCATTTAAGCCTTTCATTCATATTGACTTGATTTTTATATACAGTGTAAAGAATGGATTCAGTTTCAATTTTCTGTGTATTTTTAGCCATTTATCCAAGCACGAGTTATTGAACAGGGAGTCCTTTCCCTATCCCTTGTGTTCATTGACTTTGTCAAAGATCAGATGGTTTTAAGTGTGTGGCCTTATTTCTGGGCCCTCTGTTCTGTTCCACTGGTCCATGCATCTGCTTTTGTAGGAGTACCATGCTGTTTTGGTTACTCTGGCTTTTTCTTTAGGATTACTTTGGCTATTCAGGCTCTTTTTTGATTCCATACAAATTTTTAAATAGTTTATTCTAATTCTGTGAGAATGCCATTGGTAATTTGATAGAAATAGCTTTGAATCTCTAAGTATGGCCATTTTAGCAATATTGATTCCTTCTATCCATCAGTATGGGATGATTTCTATTTGTTAGTGTGTCTCTGATTTCTTTCAGGAGTGTTTTCTAGTTCTCATTGTAGAGATCTTTCACTTCCCTGGTTCGCTGTATTCCTAGGTATTTTATTCTACTTAGGTTATTGCAAATAGGATTGTGCTCTTGATTTGGCTCTCAGCTTGGATGTCGTTGGTGTATAGAAATGCCATTCATTTTTGAATGTTTTATTTTTCCCTGAAACTTTGCTAAAGGTGTTTATCAGAATCAGTAATTTTGAGAGGGAGAATATGGAGTTTCCTAGGTATAGAATCACATAATCTGCAATAGAGATGGTTTGACTCTTTTTTTATTTGGATGCCTTGTATTTCTTTTTCTTGCCTGATTGCTCTAGCTAGGAGTTCTAGCAATATGTTGCATAGGATTGATGAGAATTTGTACCATTGTCTTATTCCAGTTCTCAAGGGGAATGCCTCCAGGTTTTGCCTGTACAGCATGATGTTGGCTATGTGTCCATCATAGATGGTTCTTATTATGTTTGAGTATGTTAATTCAATACCTAGTTTGTTGAGAGTTTTTAACATGAAGAAATATTAAATTTTATCAAAAGGCTTTTCTGCATCTATTGAGACAATAATGTTTTTTTGTTTTTAGTTCTGTTTATATGATGAATTACTTCTACTGATTTGCGTATGTTGAGTCAAACTTGCATCCCAGGAATAAAGCCTGCTTGATCATGACGGAATAGCTTTTTGACGTGCTGCTAGATTAACTTTGTTAGTATTTTGTTTGGGATTTTTGCATCTATGCTCATCAAGGGCATTGAATAAGGTTTTCTTTTTGTTGTTGTTGTTGTGTCTTTATCAGATTTGTTAGCAGAATGATGCTGGCCTCATAGAATGAGTTAGGGAGAAGTCTTTCCTTCTCAATTATTTTTGGAATTGTTTCAGGAGGAATGGTACCAGCTCTTCTTTATTTATACTGTAGAATTTGGTGTGAATTTATCTTGTGCTGGGCTTTTTCTGCTTGGTAGGCTTTTTATTACTGATAATATTTTGGAACTCATCTTTGGTCTATTCAAGGATTCAGTTTCTTTATGGTTCAATCTTGAGAGTTTGTATGTTTCCAGAAATTTATTCATTTTTCCTAGGCATATTTACTGAGTCTGACTTTATCCAACTTGCAAGTGTATGCCTTTTAATTGAGTCATTTAGCTCATTTACATTTAAGGTTAATATAGATACGTGTGAATTTGTTCTTGTCATCATGTTGTTACTTGGTTACTATGCAGACTTGTTTGTGTCATAGCTTTATGATACAAATAGTGTATGTCTGTATTTATTTTTTTTAGTTGCTGGTAATAGCCATTCTTTTCCATACTTAGCACTTATTTAAGGACCTCGTGTAACGTATGTCTGTTAGTAATAAATTCCCTTAGAATTTGTTTGTCTAAAAAGAATCTTATTTCTCCATCACTTAGAAATTTAGTTCGGCTAAATATGAAATCCTTGGTTGGAATTTCTTTTCTTTCAGAATGCTGAATATAGGTCTCTGTCTCTTTTTGCTTGTAGAGTTTCTGCTGAAAAGTCCACTGTTAGACTGATAGGGTTCCCTTTATAAATGACCTGTTCCTTCTCTCTAACTTCTTTAACACTTTTTCTTTCATTTAATCCTTGGAAAAATCTGAGGACTAAGTGTCTTGTTGATGGTTGTCTTGTATATTATCTTGCAGAGGTTCTCTGTATTTCCTAAATTGAATGTTGGCCTCTCTAGTGTGTTTGGGGAATTTTTTTATCTATAATATCCTCAAATGTTTTCTAAATTGCTTTCTTTCTCTCCCTTTCTTTCGGTGATGCCAAAGTGTCATAGAGTTGGTCTCTTTACATAATCCCATATTTCTCAAAGTTTTGTTTATTTTTCTTTATTTTTTTCCTGACTGAGTTATTTTGATCAACCATTCTCTGAGATTCTTTCTTCAGCTTGGTCAATTCTACTGTTAATACATGTGAGTGTATTATGAAATTCTACAGTGAGTTTTTTAGCTCTGTCAGAGTAGTTTGGTTATTTCTTAAAATTGCCATTTGTTTTTTTTTGTTTCAGCTCCTGTGTTATTTTATAGTATGCCTTACATTCCTTGGATTGGGTTTCTACCTCCTCCTGATTCTCAATGATCTTTGGTCCTATTCATATACTGAATTATATTTTTGTTATTTCAACCCTTTCAGCCTAGCTGAGAACCATTGCTAGGGAACTAGTAAAGTCATTTGGAGGTAAGAAAGCACTCCAGCTTTTTGAGTTGCCAGAGTTCTTGCACTGATTCATTCTCATCTGTGTGGGCTAATGTTCCTTCAGTCTTTGAATTTGCTGTCCCTTCAGTGTGGTTTTCTTCTTTTATGTTCTTTGATGCCCTTGTATGTTGACTGTGGTATAAAGTGGATTAAGTCAATTGGTTTCATTTCTGCAAGATTTTAGAGGGCCAAGCCTCAGCTCAGCACTCCTGGGTTGTGTGCTTAATTATAGCGGGTTGGTATTGGGCCCTTAGCTTTGTTCTCTGCCCCCTTAAGATTAGAAACCTGCTGTGTTGAAGGGGCTGAGGTATTCCGAGTCCACTAGCCACAACTCTGTGGTGGGGGATGCCAGCAAAAACACTTCATTGAGGCAGTGGCAGTGACACTCACTTGTGTGTACCAGCAGCCTGTCAATATGTCAAATAATAACTAGCAGATTTTGGTTTTATTCCCCTAGCTTTTGTTAGGTATACTTTTTTGGTTTGTTTGTTTAACCTTTTATTTAAATTTGTGTCCACCTTACTCAAATTGATTTTTATTTCTTTTTTATTTTTTTCACCTAATTGGTTGTCCTTCCATAATTTTTCTTTCTGTAAGTGGCTATTTACTATTTTCTGAAATGGAAAATCAAAATATTAAACATGATTTCTAGCCAAGTTATGTTATCTTCTTTACCAAACTCTTTGATCTTACTTTCAGTGAGATAAAAAGCTAAAAATAATTTTACTTCTTCATTCCTCTTAGCATAAGTTCCTAGTTTTGATGATGTGTTTATACCTTTTAATTTTTTTAATTGGATATTTTCTTCTCTATGTTTCTTTTATCTTGAATTATTTATCAGTTATATTTTACATTCTTACTTTTAATCATTTTCCCCTCACATATGATTATGTCTAAGCAAGACTCATTTCTCACCAGAATCTCCAGCACGTTATTTTTCCCTGTAAACAAGTGGGTTCTAAAGTATTGTTTAGCTATAATTTTTTCTCATGATTTTTTTTCCCAAATATACTACCAGGTGATATATTCTCTGAAATCTTCTATTTCCCAGAATATCTTTATTTTACCCTGGCAGAAAATGTCCTTTAGCTGAGTATTGAATTATCGGCTTGCAATTCTTTTTCTCAAATAGTCTGTGGGATGTTGCTTTAAAGTCAGATTGCACATTAAAACTAGAATCATCTGTAGAAATTCTAAATAGTATCATTCACTGATTTACTTAGAGATTCTTATATCTTTGCTGAGAGTTTTGACTCGTTGCTACTGTTTTTTGAGACCCTCAGGTTATTCTAATGTGCAAAGAGCTTTAAAACCGTTGACTTAAAATAAGGTCCATATTTATTTCTTCAACTTTTAGCTTCCAGCTTTATAAACAACAAGTTTTATTACAATCAATCTATCCTTTTATTTCTTTTTTGCCTTTTATATTGTGATATATTCTTTCTATTTGGAAACTTTTTTTATTTATATATATATATTTCAGGTCTATTTCTAGATGTGTCTTCTCTTTATCCTGTCAATAATATGGTCATGCCTTATTTATTTCTATTCATTTAAAACTTCTCCAACTCTGCATTCAGCCATAGCTAGCAATTTCCTATTCATAATGGTTTAATTGTAGTACTTGGGTAATAGTACTTATCCAATATTACTTTAAATTACCATCATTTTGGTATCTCTTATGTTACAGTTCTAGAGGCAAAAATTTCAAAATCAGTTTCACTTTGCTGAGATCATGGTGTCAGTAGAGCCACATTCTTTTCAGAGGCTTTGCAGAGAACTCATTTCTTGCCTCTCTGAGCTTCTGATCTTTTGGCATACCTTGATTTGTGGTTGCACCACTCTAATTATGCTTCTGTTGTCACATTGCCTTCCCCCTTTCTATGTGTCAAATATCCGCTTCTTTCTATATATAAGGGGACAGATTATTGTATGTAGGGCCCACCTAGACAAACCTTCCATCTCAAAATTTAAATTTAATCACATTTGGAAAGTACTTTTTGTAACATTCACGGGCTCCAGGAATTAGTACATGAATGTCTTTGTGGGGCCATTAATCTACCTACCACTCCGTTCCATTACAATTATAATCTTAATTATCATGTCAGAGTACGTAAACATATTTTGATCTATAGATGCTACAAATAAGCATGCTTTATGACATCATATTAATTAATGTGGGTGATTAAAAAGGAAAATTATCTAATTTAGATAGCTTTTTTTTTAACATCTATAATTGAATCCATAGTAGAGAATCAGTTGTCTATGGGAAGAAAATTATCCTCCCAATCTATATACTAGAATAAGAGGCAAGAATTTACATTTACTTGAGCAAATTTCATTTACTTGCTACTTGCTAATTAAGGCTTAACATATAATCTTTCCTTTGCAAAATAAATATGACAGTTTTTGCTGTAACTTTATCCCAGCATCTATGAAGTTACTTCATGAGATGTTGTATGGATACATGAAAGGTTAATAACACATGTAAACATGTTTTCTTCTAAGTGTGTGCATACCAGTCATATTAGTAAAAGTGAAGTCTAAACTGAGTTAACTGAGGTTTCAAAGTTGAGTGGCTTAAAGAAAATAAATTCTTATTGAGTTATTATATAGAAGGAAAAAGGAAGAGGTGTTACTGTTATTGGCCTCACATATAAAAGTATGAAAGGTAAATAAGATCATTGATCCCTAAAATTATTTTACTTAGGTGAATTTGCTATTATTTTTCTCACCTGTTGAGTGTGTGTTGTACATTTATGTATTCATATATTACAGAAACTGAATTTTTTTCATGATTGTTCTGTTTCCTGTTTTAACATGAAATCTAATCACATGGTGATTGAGCAAAATTTAAGCCAATAAACAGCATACACTGTTATTGGTTGTTAACATATTTATAAAATATTTTATTTAAGTGCTAATTAAAATGTAACATTAAACCACATTTCAGAGTTAGAAGATCATCTTGAATTTCGTAAATCTCAGAAGTCTTTAACTCATTGGTGATTTCTGGGATTTTTAAGAGTTCTGATTCTAGTCAGTATTTGTATGTAAATGATTAATGAGTAGTCATTTTTTTTCTGAAAGTTACATGATTTTTCGCTCTCCTTCCCTCTTACCATGTGATGACACAGCAAGAAGACACTCACCAGATATTGGCACCTCAATATCAGACTTCCAAGTCTCCAGAAATATTTCAGCATGCCAATTTTTCCTGCAGCCTTAGTTCTCTGAGTCCAAGAAAAGACAATGATTTCCTTCATCCAATCCTGGAAGCCACAGCCCTCGTACTTCCACATCCCAGGACTCCTTACTGACATTCTCCAGTGTCCACCCAAAGTGCAACAGTAGCACAGTAAGAATGGTGTAGCACACCAAAAAGGCAGCTTGTGAGACAAAGAAATCCAAAATGTGTGCTTTCTATCTCCCTAGAGCTCCCTGTCTGGGGCTGTGAGAAACAACCCCTTTCCTATCAGTGGCACTAACTTTGTCTGTAGGCCTGTAAGCATGGCATTCTTGCCCTTCTGTGTATATCCCTGCAACAGGGATGACCTTAGGCACCCAGAGCAGTGAGACTGAGAGTTGGCTGTCTAAAACTAGAGGCAGTCACTCTGTGCCCACTAGCATATTGATCTCCATGCTCAGACCCATGCATAGAGAGTGGACCCACCTCCCATCCCTCTGCATATCATGGCAGCAGCAGCCACTGATGCTGCTGTTGGAGCCTGGGAGAAGTGAGCTTGAGAGCTGCATGTCTGGTGCTGTGGGTGCCAACCCCACATCAAAGCCACCTTCAATTCCAGTACATACTACTCCGTATCCAGAGGGTTTTCGTGCCACTACTACTGCTATTACCCATGTTTTGACAGCTGCCCAGGAACCTGAGCTTATGCACGTAGCTCACTGCTGCCACTACTGGAACCTGAGCAAACTACCTAGAGGCCCATGAATAGTCCCACTAACAGCAATGCCATGATACGTCACCCAAGCCCCAAGAACTACCACATTCAGCCCAACACTGCCACAACTCTAGCCCGAAGAATGCCCCCTCTGGCATCCCAATCCTAAGCAAAACTTCATTATAGCCTCCACCAATAACAGCAGCCTGAACTGCTAAGGAAGTCACAGGTTTTCCCTATGAAAGCAAATTTAAAAAAAAAACATTGAAAAGGCCGTACCTTACAACAAATGTGCAGATATCAATGTGAAGACACAGGAAATATGAAAAAACAAGGAAACATGACACCTCCATAGGAAAAAAATAATTTCCCAATAACAGATTCCAACAAAAGAAAATCCCCAAAACCCCAGAAAAAGAATTCAAAGTTATGGACTACAGTTCAGTGAAATGCAAGAGAATTCTGAAACAAAAATGCAGAAAATAAAAACAATTCAAGATATTAACAAGAAAATTTCCAAATAGATTGATATCGTAAAAAATCAAACAGATATTCTATAATAAAGAATTCCTTGAATGAAATACAAAGTACACTTCAAAGCTTCGACAACAGACTACACAAAACGGAAGAATTTCAGAACCTGAGGACAGTATTTTGAAGAACCTGGTCAAATAAAAATAAAG
Organism: Homo sapiens; assembly: GCF_000001405.40. NCBI lineage: Eukaryota > Metazoa > Chordata > Mammalia > Primates > Hominidae > Homo > Homo sapiens. The sequence goes on from NC_000003.12 coordinate 166,053,306, forward strand.
AAAAAACGTGTAAAAAGAATTAACAAAACTTTTGTGATAAATGGGACACCATAAAGCAATCAAATATAGGAATTATTGGTCTGCAAAGGTGAAGATAAAATGTAGGTGCTTGAAAAAAAACTAATGAAATAATAGATGAAAACTTTGAAGTCTAGCAAGCAATTTAGACATCCAGATACAAGAGGTCCAGTGATCTCCAGACAAATATAATACCAAAAGGTCTTGTACACTACATATTGTAATCAACTAGTCTAAAGTCAATGACAAAGAGATAATTTTAAAAACAACAAGAGAGAAGCATCTAATCACCTGTAAAGGGTCTCCATCTTACTAACAGTGTACTATTCAGCTGAAAATTCACGGGCAAGGAGAAAATGGTCTGATAATCTCAAAATGCTGAAAGAAAAATAGATGCCACCAAATATACTATATCATGGAAGGTATAGATATTTCCTATGTATCCCTTGCACCTACATATTCATAGTTACCCCTGTTATCAACATTCTCCACCATATAGTATATTTGTTACAGTTGATTAACCTACATTGACACATCATTATTACTCAAAATCCACAGTTTGTACCCACTCTTGGCGTTGTACTTTCTATGGGTTTAGGCAAATATAATATGTATTTATCATAGTATAATCATAGTATAAAAATCCTGTGTATTCATCATACTAAAAATCCTTTGTGTTCTGCCTATTTATTCCTTCCTCCCTCTAACCTTTAGCAACCATGGATCCATTTACTGTATCCTTAGAATTGCCTTTTTGAGAATGTCATATATTTGGAATTACATGACATATAGCCTTTACAGATTGACTGCTTTCACCTAATAATATGCATTTTGTATTCCTCCATGTCTTTTCATGGCTTGATAGCTCATTTCATTTTAGTGCTAAATAATATTCCGTTGCCTAGATATACCACACCTACTGAAGGACACATTGGTTGCCTTCAAGTTTTGGTAATTATAAATAAAGCTGTTATAAACAATCACATGCAGGTTTATGTAGACATAAGTTTTCAACTTCTTTGGGTAGGTATCAAAGAGTATGACGTCTGTGTCATATGATAAGAGTATGTTTAGTTTTATAGAAAATTGCCAAACTATCGTCTGAGATCACTGTACTGTTTTACATTTATACTAGCAATGAATGAGAGTTCCAGATGCTCCACATGATCACAAGCTTTTTTCCTGGCATAATCAGGGATGTGGGCTCACAATTTGCCCTTGCAAACTTACATAACATGGTAGAAGAATAGCCTGATTTGAATCCTCAGAACTCTTCCAGGATTGAATATCTTCAACAGTTAATAATAGCCAGTTTTCATGGAGTTTTGTAATAAGTCAACTTGCAAGGTATCAATCTAGGACAAGTTAATATTTATATCACCATATCATATAAGGCCATTGTGAAAATTAAAAAGTTATATGAAGAATGCTGAAATAAAAGTGCTTAAAATAGTTCCTGGTGAATATTAAGTGTATGTTAAGTTCTAGCTAGTTGTAGCAGTAATATTAGTACTTATAGCAGCAGCAGCAGTAGTAATTCCTAGCACCTTGGGATATGCAAAAGTCCTGTGTCTTTTGCAACTATAGAAAAAATGATCTTGGCTGGGCACGGTGGCTCACGCCTGTAATCCCAGCACTTTGGGAGGCCGGGGCGGGTGGAGTTCAATACTAGCCTCCCCAACATGGAGAAACCCCGTCTCTACTCAAAAAAATACAAAATTAGCCGGGCCTGGTGGCACATGCCTATTGTAATCCCAGCCACTTGGGAGGCTGAGGCAGGAGAATCGCTTGAACACAGGAGGCGGAGGTTGCGGTGAGCTGAGATCACGCCATTGCACTCCAGCCTAGACAACAAGAGGGAAACTCCAGCTCAAAAAAAGAAAAAAAAAGGATCTTCTGCTTAGTGGTCCAACTTAGAGATGCTTGTGCATCCCAACCTTCCTGCTTGTTTCAGATCAGCAGCTTTGATTGTCCATGACATGTTTGGAGAATGGGAGCATTCGCTGGGTCTCACTTTCTATTTTGAAGAGTTTTTTTTTTTTTTTTTTTTTTTTTCCCCTGAAGTCTTATTATCTTCACGTGGTGCTCCTGTGAAAAGTTTATTTGTACCCTGAAAACCTGGACATTCTCGGGAGGCTGAGGCAGGAGAATGGCGTGAACCCGGGAGGCGGAGCTTGCCCCGAGCATAGGTCGCGCCACTGCATTCCAGCCTGGGAGACACAGCGAGACTCCGTCTCAAAACAAAACAAAACAAGAAAAGAAAGAAAGAAAGAAAAGAAAGAAAAAAGGAAGGAAGGAAGGAAGGAAGGAAGGAAGGAAGGAAGGAAGGAAGGAAGGAAGGAAGGAAGGAAGGAAAAAAAGGTAGAGATATTTGGCCTACATCACAGGACTCAAAAGTTATGAGCTAGGAATCACTCTATCTGACATCAGAAACCAAGAAGAACTATTTTGTAAATATAGGTGTTACTTTCTCTATTGCATTTCCGGGGAAGATTGTGACTTCCAGGGGCTATCCCAACTCACAAGTTGACTGCTGCAACCTTGGCATTTTGCTCATTTTCTTCTATTCTTTCCTTTACTAAGGGCATACATACCAACTTGCAGACTTCTGAAGAGATGCTTAAAGTCCTTTTACATTAAATCAATGCACAAGATGTACCTGGAAAATTATCCTCTCATAAAGTGGTCATAATGTAATAAGCCCAAATCATGCAGGACGTTAAATACTATAAACTAATTTTTATCACCTAAAGTATTGGTAAATATATATTATATTTGAAAAATGTGTACTTTCCTATTTTGGTAAATAGGAATGGTGTGAAAATTAATTTATTCTTATTTTTAGATGCTATGTTCTAATTCCTCATTGGGTTTAACTCCTATCAATTGTCCCCATTAAATAACTTAATATCTTATTTTTATTTCATGTGAAATATTCACATATGTTCACGTATACTTACTGCAATTATTTCAGAATGCTTTTTAATATCTTAGCACCCCTTATAAAATTGTCTTTGTTTTGCTTATGTTATTTTTATCATCTGGAAAATTTTCTTATTTCCCATTTAACCCATTTGTTTTTCCTTTTAAGAAATTTCAAACATATGTAAAAGTTAAAACATAAGAGTATAATGATCACACATTTCCCTATCATTTAGCTTCATTTTATAAACATACAGCCATTTATCATGCATAATATTTGTGTATGTATCTCTAAAGGAGAAGACTCCTTTTAAAATATATTTAGAATGCTGTGATACTATTATGCATAATTTTAGTAATTAAGTTTATATGATTATTTCATTTTATCAATACCTTTTCATTGATTTTGAAATATTGAGTCAAAATTTTAACTTTTATAGTCGCATCAGCCTGGCATGTTTCCATTGCTGGTATTTATGTGAAATTATGTACCTGAAATTCTAAGCTGGAGAGATGTGTCGGGACAGTTCTTCTGCCATAATAATTCTAGATCTTGCTCTTCTTTTACTTTCATAAGCAATATAAAAAATATGGTCTTATTCTTGTAAGGATTTCCTCTTTGTCCCCTTTTCTTCTTTTGGCTGTCTCTTCTCTTTTCCTTTCCTCTATTTTCCTTGTGGTGCTCAATCTGGTCTTAGCCCTCAATAGTGTTTCCTCACTGTGAGGTTTTGTCCTGGTTAGAAATTCTCATTTCTTAAAGAACTTACAGGACCCCAGCTTTCTCCAGCCTTTTCAGTATTTGCCATGAGTCTCACAAATGGGAGTGCTGTAGTTCTTCTATTCTCTACATGCTGTTGACCCACTGTTTTTCCCTACACAATTTCCAAAATGCACTTGTTGCTTATTTACTAGTGTTCCTGTTTTCAAATTGATCAGATGCCCTTTGCTTCCATCCAGTTTTCTCAAACAGATTCTGATACCTTGCAAAGCAGTGTTTTTTCTCTATCCACTTATATTTGTGCGTTCTTGGATATATATTTTCACCTGGTAATTGGATATTTTTTTGTTTTATTGGCTTATATGCCTTGACATCATTCTCCACCAATTTCTTATTTCCCACTTACACTTGAATGATAGTTTAGCTGAGCATAAAATTTAGACTGTTAGATTTTGTTTGGTTTGTTTGGTCTAAGGATTCTAAAGATACCTGTTACCTGGTGTCTGTTGTTGTTAGTGAAAATATGTTAACTCTGTTTTCATAATTTTATTTTCTTAATAGTTAATAAATGAGCTACAAAAAGAACACACAAAACTATTAGCCATTTTTATAGCATGCTTAGAGTTTCATTTAAAAATTAACTATATTATTTCTTTATTTAACATTTTCACATAATGTAATGTTTTTATTGCTTAAAGAAGTCATTTATGTTTTCTTCTGGATATACCATTTTGGGAATAAATTTTTTATATACTAGGAAGAAGTGAATTATTAGTTCCAAAATGCTAGAACTTAGAAGTCAGGAGATAAATTTTTGTCTTTGCTATTAATTAAGTAGATAATTTTGGAATTTTCACTTAATTATTTTTTCTTAGTATATTATGTCTTTCACGGGGCTGGTAATGTATTATCTCTACTTTGGAGGAGGCTTCAAAAGACAATATTACCTTTTAAATATGTAAAGAGAAAAAAATAGCTCTATCAATTAGAACATTATTTGAACATTCGAATTTTTTAAATGATATAAAAAGATGAAAATGTCATAACATTTACTTGAAAATAAATAAATATCATAGTGTAATTATATGCATATATAGACATATAAAAATCTAAAATATAGCTTTTTCAATGTTAGATACATTTGAGGAGAAAAAATGATACAATGTTTTCATTGCACATTATTCAACATCAGTATAATATAACTTCAAATATTTCTTGTATATTCCTATAAAAATAACATAATAAATAATTCTACAAGTTAAAAAAATTACATAGGATAAAATATAGAAAGTATATAATATTATTTACCATAGTAAAGTAGAAGTAAGCATAGAAATAGGAGAATACTCACTCATGAATGGGAGTTGAACAATGGGAACATATGGGCACAGGGAGGGGAACATCACACACTAGGGCCTGTTGTTGGGTGGGGAGCAAGGGGAGGGATAGCATTAGGAGAAATACCTAACATAGATGTAGGTGATGGGTTGATGGATGCAGCAAGACACCATGGCACAAGTATACCTATGTAACAAACCTGCACATTCTGCATAAGTTTCCCACAACTTAAAGTATAATAAAAAATGAGTAATTAAAAAAAAGAAATTGGAGAATCATTATACTTATATTTTAAAATGTGTTGTATTTTCAGAGTCATATTCTTGATGTGCTCATAAAACAACCAATCATGTTTCCATTAACATGTAAGATAATATATGCCATTTGAAATTGCTTCGGAAACTATCATTGAAAGTTTCACTAAAATGAGAAATGTTTTTAAGAATATTCCTTTTATTTCTTATTTACCAATTAATTTATTTACAATGTTAAGCTGAGAAATGATTTGACAGGTTCTTTTTTATTCATGTCATAGTGTTATATATTATCAATCATGTATGAGAAAGACAATAATTCTTTTTAATAAGCTAACAATATAAAATGTACTTCGATAAAATAAAACATTAATATTTTATAGTAAATCTCTTGCATGAAGGAGTATTGCTTCTGACAAATAAATCAATAAACACATGGGATATATCATTATGATTGCTTATGCTAAGTAGAACAAAACAGAAATATTCAATCTGTTTTTTATCAAGTTTACACGTAAGAAAAACTTAGTCAAGCTTTCAAGCTTTACCTTTTTAAGATGATTTTCATCTTATTTTCATTTGCAATGAGTGTATATTTCTAACCAACTTTTACACACACTAAATACACACTCTTTTATGCTGGTTGCCACAACACTTTGCATCCAGATTCAGAGTTAAATATGTTAGCTTCATTTTGGTTAATTAGAACATTATCTCTAAGTACACAGCTTTTTTGGGTGGTGTGAAAAAAAATAGACATAGAGAACAGGGTATTGAATACATCAATATGTGCATGTTAAAATGACTTGTTTCTAATTATAATACATAGCTTATTTCTTAAAGGCTACTTAATATTTAAGTGTTGTAACTCAAAAAATGAACAGACTATGCTAAAAAAAACTCAATGACATAATCATTTACTTTCATATTTCTTTTATATGTTAGGTATAATGATTCACATCTATTAGGTTATTACCTAATGTATTTATAACCAAGAAACAAACAATTTTATTGTCTATGAATAAAATGTTTCTTCTTGTGAACTTATATTTTAAAATAAGATTTCATTTTCTGTGGTTAAAAATATCCTAAGGTAAAGGATATTACATTTAAACATTTTTTATCTTATATTTAAATAAAGTGCAGATGATCACATTTACACACAACGCAAGCAGAATAGCAAATCTATTATCTGTTATAAAGTCTATTTTTCATTATACACAATATGGTAAAGTTGCAAATGGAACCAAAGCTTCACATCAAAACAGCTAAACACATATACGTAAAAACTTGTTTATTTTTTCCTCTCCGTTCAACAAAGTATTTGTCAGAGGACGATATGATGATTCTTGCTCAGACACTGCTTTACAGGAGTTTTGTAGAAGCTGTTTTTAAAATGAAGATTCTAATTCTTTTGTTGCAAATAGATTCAGTGCCCACTTTGTGCATAGACCTGCCTGAGGCATGCAGGGGAGGCCAGTTCTGCAACTCGAAGTGTCTTTGTGATAGAAGATATATCCTTTTTAATATTTAAATATTTTATTACAAGGCAGAAAATAAATCCAACACAGAAAAGTGAGACAAAGTGCCATGAGAATACAAAGGACAAAAAAGGTAGTTTTAGGGTTGATAAAGGCTGGGAGTGGGAGGCGTTAGAAAACTTCAATTAAGTAGTTTTATTAATTTTTCTTTATCAGTGCCAAGAAAATATAGTGGTTTTGTCAAATTTTATTTGTTATTTTCTGTCAGTGAATTTTCTGGAAAACAGAACATTCATTAGGGAATTTTTGAAGTTAAAAATAAATAATTAGGCATTTGGAGTAAGATGGTTGAATAGAAGCCTCCAGCAATTGTCCTCCCACTCCCTCAGTGACACCAGATTGAACAACTATCCACACAAAAAAGTACTTTCATAAGAACCAGAATTCAGGAGAGCAATCACCGTACCTGGTTTTAACATTATATTAATGAAAAGGCACTGAAGAGAGTAGGGAAGAGTCTTGAATTGCCTACATTACAATCCTAAAGCCATTTGGCCAGGAGTGGCCACATGGCTTGGACAGAGAATATGTTAGCTTGAAAAAGGAAGAGCACAGTGGTTGTGAAACTTTGTCTTGGAACTTAGTGTGGCGCTGTCACAGCAGAAAGCAAATTCAAGAAGAACTCAACCAGCATCCACAGAGGGAGCATTTAGACCAACTATAGCCAGAAGAGAATTGCCCATCTCAGCGGTCAGAACTTGAGTTCCAGCAAGCTCTGCCACTGTGGGCTAAAATGATCTAGGGTCCTAAATAAATGGAAAAGGTTGTCTACTAACACAAGGACTGCAATTTCTGGGCAAGCCCTGGTACTGTGCTGGTCTCAGAGCCAGTGACTTGGAGCACATGTAATATAGTAAGACACCAGCTGGGGCAGCCAGATTAGTGCTTATGCCATTCCTCAGCCAACCCCAGGCAGCACAGCATGCAGCTCCAGGGGAGACTACTTCCTTCCACTTAAGGAGGGGAAAGGGAGGAGGAGAGAGGACTTTGTCTTGCAACTTAGATACCAGTACAGCCACAGTAGGATAGGGCATCAGGCAGAGTCCTAAAGCCCATGTTCTAGACTCTAGCTCCTGGATATTTCTAAACACACTCTGGGCTAGAAAGGGAACCTGCTGCCCTAAAGGGAAGGACTGTGTCTTGGCAGAATTTCTCACCTGCTCACTAAAGAGCCCTTGGGCTTTTAAAAATAAACAGTGGCAGCCAGGCAGTACTTAACTGTGGGTCTTGGGTGAGGCTCAGAGCCATGCTGGATTTAGGTGTGACCCAACACATTCCCAGCTGCGGTGACTAAGTGGAGAGACCCCGTATGCTTGAGGAAAGAAGAGGGAAGAGTAAAGGGGACTCTGTCTTGTAGCTTGGGCATGAGCTTGCCCACAGTGAGACAGAGCAGGAAGCCCATTCCTGGCATCTGTGATTGCGGGCTTTGGCTCCTGGATGACATCTCTATACATGCTGTGGGCCAGAGGGGAGCCCATTACACTGAGAAGAGAGAATCAGGACTCTCTTCTCAGAGTATTATATTATATTATTATACAGACATTAGGCAATTCTGTATGGAATATGACTAAAATGTAGAAACAGCTCCCCTAAATGGATGGCAAGGTTTGGACTCTGGCTGATATGAGGTTCCAATCTCAGATCTGTCATTGTTAGCATTCTTTATCTCTAAAAATATTACATTATTTAATGAGCTGATATTTTTAGAGTGCTTAGGACCTTACTTGTCGTGACCAACTATTAGTAGTGCTTTTTATTTACTTGTCAATTAGTTCATGTGTTCTTTTTACATTACTGTAACTGGTAGCTGAGTTCATGTAATTTTGAAGATAGTAAAAATGATGCTAGTGAATACTGAAGGAATTGGAGAACCTTTATTTCCTTCCAGTCCTGATACTACTCTATGAATAAGCATGAGTGTATTTTCTGTAGTTGAAACTTCAAGGGAGCCTAATTTGTATAGTTACAGCTTAAAACTTGTATTTTGATCCTTTGAAAGCTGTAAAGACAAAACGTCTAGGCCAGTGTTTATCAAGAGTGGTGTGTGGATACCCATAGCTGTCTCCAAGACTCTTTTAGGAGATTTCCAAGGTCAAACTATTTTCAAAAGGCCACTCACATGTTGTTTAATCTTTTCACTCTTTTTTTCATGAATATATAGTGGTGTTCTCCAGGGATTGCATGACATATGAGATTGCAATTGATGGAACATAGAAGTAAATACGAGAATCCAGTTGTCATTTATGAAGTCAAATATTAAAAAGATTTCTGGAAACATAAAACATTGCAACTCTTCTAATTTTTTCAAAAATAGTTATTTTTAATAGTGTTATTAATGTTTACATATGCTCTTAAAAATGAAGTAATAAACACAGTTTAAACTTTGTTATGATTTCTAATATAGTAAGTATCAGTAAATAATCCACTCAAAGGAACAAAGCTTTTTGTTGTTCTCAACTTTGTTATCCTCAGTCATTTTTCAAGAATCTAGACAGGTCTAAAAATAAAATTTAAGTAGAAAATTTTTATTCAAGGGTTAACACCGGCTATTACAAAATTAAAACTTATGGCTAATGACAGTAAGAACAATTAAGGGAAAAGCAGAAAAGCAAGGTAGTTCTCACAAATATGGACACCAGAGAAAGGAACAAGTGGAGATAAATGGAGGAGAGACAGAATCTGATCTGCTCTACAACCCTGTTATTTTGGCAGGTGTTACTCTGGCAGTACCTAGATTTCTACCCTTATATGCTGCCACATTAATGCAAACAATTATCATTGGAAAGGCAGGAAATGTCATTGTTAAGTCTGCGCAACCAATTTTCTGTTGTGAAGAACGGTGTTTCTTTGAATTTAGTATTGGCTTACCTCACAAAATTATATTACTGTATTTTAGACAGAGTGCTTTGCATTATCATATTTTTCTCAATATTTTGGATATGGTATAAAGCCTTCATTTTTAAATTTATTATATATGCTTATATAATAATAATTAACTTGATAGCATGTTGTTAATGTAAGCGTATTTAAAAGGTAATAAAGAGAAATATAATCATGACATATATTTATTTTGTCATGTAAAAATTAGAGATTTTTTTGTAGTTATTCACACTGAGCATAGGTGAAATTAAGTTAATTATTATTTTTAAATGGTAAAAATATTGTTTTGTGATAAATTTAAGTTAAATACAATCACTTGATAAAAGAAAACCTACCATTTTCTTTTGCAAATGATGATTCAATAATGAAAAAGAGAGCTTATGTTGAATTACACTATTAACAAAGATATATTTGTATTATTATCTCATTAAATAAAATTATAAAGGCAGCAGAACAGACAAATAAATTATGATCTCAACTGTCTTTCAGTGTTTCTAATCTTGGTGGCAAGATTTTTGTATACTGTTTCAAAAAATCCTATTTAGCTATTGACTTTTACTAATAAAAAAACAAGAGGTCAAGTTAGTTACATTATTATAAATAATTAATATTATCTAGCTTTAATCTTACCTAATTTCAAAAATCAAATATGAAGCAAGCACCACTGCCTTTATAGATGATAGTATTTGGTTAGGTAACTATACAAGAATGTTCCAACATATGGTATATAATGATACAATTTTAAAATGTTTATTTCAGGCTGGGCGCGGTGGCTCACGCCTGTAATCCCAGCACTTTGGGAGGCCGAGGTGGGCGGATCACGAGGTCAGGAGATCGAGACCATCCTGGCTAACACGGTGAAACCCCCCTCTCTACTAAAAATACAAAAATTAGCTGGGTATGGTGGCGGGCGCCTGTAGTCCCAGCTACCTGGGAGGCTGAGGCAGGAGAATGGTGTGAACCCGGGAGGTGGAGTTTGCAGTGAGCCGACATAGCGCCACTGCACTCCAGCCTGGGCGACAGAGCGAGACTCCGTCTCTAAAAAAAAATAAAAAATAAAATGTTTATTTCATATAATAAACACGTACTTGTAAAATTTTGCAAACTGCAGAAAATTCTAATTAAGCAAAATCACATATAACCTATCATATCAACATGGCCAATTTCCTGAATAGTGTGATGAAGCCTGTTAATTTAGGGAACATTTCACTTTAAAACTGTAAATCAGGTTTTCTCATGTCAATGTTCAACCTGAGGAGTACATGGGATTTAAGACTCACCATACAGTTATTAACTACTGTTACCTTCATTAACTTTCTTTATACAAATCCATCAAAGGTAATACCATTCTTTTCAGCATTAATTGACCTAACATTCTTACCAAATTCTTGTTAAAAAAAATTCCCAGAAGTTCTTGCTTAACAAAACTTTTGCTTTAAAAATTCTTCAGGAGTTTATTTTTCAGTAAACCACTTAAACTATTGATCTATTTCTATGAATTGGAGCTCTATCGCAATATCGTAAAAACAAGAACTGTGATTTAACTAATGTGTACATATTTGTCATGAAAATATGCTCTGGTAAAATAGAGCAAAGATAGGAAATTCAAATTAGTTGGATCTTGTAATGAACAAAATATGCCGAGACATGGGGGAAGGATTGTGAGTAGAGAGTGTGTGTGATTCAGCTAAGGGGACACAGCAGTCAATTCAAACAGATGGCTGCCTATGGCAATGAAGGCTCGGTATTGCCATTGCCAAATACTCTTATTTGTCAAGAAAAGTGGAAAATCTGGATTTTTATATGGAATCTTATATTTTATATATTTTGGCACAAACAAAAACCAAAACAACTACTTTTGCTTCAGAGGGCATGTATCTTCTACTAAGGCACCTGGCAGTGACAACTGGTTTAATTAACTGTTTACCATTGAGTGACTATTAATCAACATTACAATGTTTGTAGGGTGCAGCTTTAGAGATAAAACATTGCAATTATATTTGAAATGTATATTTCCAAAATAATTTTAAGTCTTCTTTCTCCTAAAAACAAAAAACAAAATCCTACCTGCAGACTGCTTCATTAAACCTTTCATTATTATTACACTTCTGAAAATTTACTTGTAGAAACAGGGTCCTAAACTAAGTTTTCTTGATACCTCTTATTCTTGAGTAATAGAAAAAAAATACTATCTTCTTTTCGATTTAGGTCAGAAAAGAGAGGTAGTGGTGCACTATGTAATTTCTGCAGGTATAGATTTTATAGATATAGATACAGGAAATTCTGAGATAGAAGGGAGTTATTTTTTATCCGTAGACTAATAGTATATGTGTTTGCTTATTTTTAATGTGTTTAGAATGTTTCATAAAGATGAATTCTAGCCAAACTTGTCATTTTTAAATAAATGTGCCTTGATTTTTTTTTTTTTTTTTTTTTGAGACGGAATCTCACTGTGTCGCCCAGGCTGGAGTGTAGTGGCGCCATCTCAGCTCACTGCAAGCTCTGCCTCCCAGGTTCACGCCATTCTCCTGCCTCAGCCTCCGGAGCAGCGGAGCAGCCCGCCACCACGCCCAGCTAATTTTTTTTTTATTTCTTTTTTTTTTTTATTTTTAGTAGGGACAGGGTTTCACCGTGTTAGCCAGGATGGTCTCGATCTCCTCACCTTATGATTCGCCCACCTTGGCCTCCCAAAGTGCTGGGATTACAGGCGTGAGCCACCGTGCCCGGCCGACATTTTTTCTTGACTTTATTTACTGTTTATGTGAGTAAAGGAAGAATTATTTCCAAAAATAAAAGTTGAAAGTGGCTGCAAGATGATACCTTATGCCCTTAGTGTCTGGTATATAGTTAGTTAACTACTGAGCCTCTGCTCAACTGAAATAGGGTTTTCTCAAACCTTATCTCTTTTGTGGTATCTGGCTACACAAAGGGTAGTGTTTACCCCAGTTGCTCTTAGTCAGGTGGCAATTATTTAATTATATGGCTAAGAAATATATGCACTGTTCCTTGCATTTATATTAGGAAATTGCTTATTTTATTGAGCCCTATTCTATAATCTTTGAATACATGTAGAAATAAAGTCTTTCATGTTTGATTGAATGGGCAAGATGTAGCTCTGAAGTCTTGTAAGGCATAGAGGTTGATTATTCTAGCTGTGGGGACAATGCATGAGAGGCTTTGATCAAGCAAGAGCTGAGGGTAGGGGCATATGCCAGTAGAATAAATATCTTCCCCTGTTCCTAGATGTCTTACGCAAGCTTTTGTGAACCAGAGTGAAGAAGGCCCATGTCAATAATTAAGTTTTTTAAACTAGAGTATTTCTGATCACAGTACTTTCATGAAACACCTTCAATATATGTGTGAAAATTGTTAACTATTTTATTTAGATTCCAGTGTGGATTTAAGTTGTAAAAATTTTTACCAATATATTCACAGAAAATAGTGTAGGGCATAAAAAAGGAGCACTAGTCTGACCCCATATTTATATGGAACTTAATATATTTCAAATTCCATAGTATGGCATTCTTTCTGGGAGATAAAATTTTTAAAACATAGTTATGGAAATAAAAATTAATTAATATACACTGAAATACAGGGAATATAACTAGTTAAAATTCATAAAAACATAATTCATAAAACTAAAGTATGGTTTAAAAATTGAGCTTTCCTCTGACCAAGAGATTACAAAAAAAAAAAATTGCTGTCATTTTTATGCTACGGGTTTCCAGTAGAACTTTCCTGACTCAGGTCCAATGACTAACAAGTAGACTAATCTAAGTTTAGTATTTCTTTGTTCATCCTTTATTAGAGGTGTGAAGAAGCACTAAAAAGATCAAAAGTCAGGCAACAAGAGAGAGAAATATTATAATAACGTGCTGATTATATAAATAAATAACTAAATATCTGAGAACATATAGGCTTCAATTATCTTAATCTTGAGAAAGCTACTCATGGAGCTTGAGTTTTAACCTACCTAGTAATCTAATAATATGTATAATTAAATAATTAACTCTGGGTAAATAACAGACCAAAAATACTGTACTTAGCCCACATTTGTTCAATCTTTAATTACTTGGAACTACAGAAAATTGTATTGCAATAATGCACTCAGCAGCATTACAAACCCGTTGGCAGATTAATTTAATTGTCAAATTATCATCATTTCTAAGTGACTGTGTTATGATGTATGGAATGAAAATATATTTAGTAAACTTGTATAAAATAAACTTCTAGTAAATAATTTTAATTTTCTTTTTAATAAAAGTACACTGTGAACTAACAAGTACAGTGGAAGAAACAATTTTAAATTCAGCCAAGTTACAAAAGAAATTATTCCTAAGACTTTTTAGTCTAAAGATGGAAACCAGGAGACTTGTTTACCCTTTCTCATGTGAAATTCTAATGAGTAATGACAACAGCTTCTAGGCAGATGATTCGAGTCTGTTAAGAATGTTTGTGTCATACAGATGAAAAGGAAAGAGAACAACTATAATTAGGAAAGCCATTCTGATCACTGGTTTAAAGATCAGCAGTACTTATCTGTTGGTCTTGGGATCAATGATTCTAAGACAACTTGACTACTGAGAGTACATGTGTTGTCAGACTAATTGGAGAAACTGGCACTGATGCAGCAACTGGGAGTGAATTAGAGCAGCTTCAAAATGTCAACACTTCTATAAAACAGAGTTTTGGTTAAAAAAGAAAAAATCCTTCATATTTGATAAATAAGAAGTATAATAATACTATGATTGATAGACTGCCCCTTACAGTTATAGGAGGAATGAGCAGGTATACAGCCTGTGGAATCATGGTTGTGTCACTTAATTTTCTTGAGATTATTGTCTCACTGATAAAAAGGCAAAAGAATATTTTCCTCTCAGGTTTGGAATGAGGATAATTTTTTTGAAGATCATCAAAATTATAAACCACTATTCAAATTATATTTTTCACCAGAATATTTTCTCAGGCCTTTATGCATAAGAATACCCCAATGTGCATTCATGGAAGTTGTGGCAAATTTTCCAGAAGGTTGATAGTTACTATTCCAGGGGTTCTGTTGACCAACATTTGGAAAATGTGGATATAAGCACATGCAAAGGTATTCCTTTACTTAAGGATTTTTCAGAGTCCTGTTCATATGCTGGTTTCTTTGACATTCCAAAGTTCTGTGGGAAATAAAATCTGAAGGATCCCAAATATGCTTGACCACAGAACCTTTCATTCCATGGGGTATTTTAAGGGATTGATATGCAAAGCTGACTTTGAAGTAGTTTTCAGAGGCCCATGCACCAAAAAGCAGCTGTATTGTTTTGTGTAGTTTGTGATGAGGGGCAAGGTTTATTAACACAGTCTACATGGTTTTGTATCCTGGTGCCTTCACTTACCATGTGTCTCTCTCTAACCATAAGCTAATGTTATTTTTCTTTTGTTATATTATGTCTATCTTGTTACATTATATAGTATATATGTTATATTGAAAGATGTAAAATTTTTCAAATAGCACGTTGTATAAAATGCATAGTACAGGTTAGCAATTATTTTTAACCCATTTGAAAATAAAACCCTGGGTAAAGTATTGTGTTGCTTCTTTTTACTCATGTATAGTTTTATGTAAATGCCAAGAATACTTTTTGTCATGAGAATCATTTGTCCAGTGATATTAAAACATATGTTTTACTTTTATTTTAAAAGCGCGTGTTGAGCTCCCTCAATTGAAGAAATGTCTATTCAAGGCCTCTGCCTAGTTTTTAAATTGGGCTCTTACATTGCAATTGAGTTGTAGGAGTAATGTATATATATCTTTATTGAACCCTTAAAAGATCCATAGTGAGGCCTGGTGCAGTGGCTTACGCCTGTAATCCCAGCACTTTGGGAGGCCGAGGCGGGTGAATCACAAGGTCAGGATATTGAGACCATCCCGGCTAACACGGTGAAACCTCATTTCTACAAAAAAAAAAAAAAAAGAGAGAGAGAAATTAGCCGGGCGAGGTGGTGGGCGGCTGTAGTTCCAGCTACTCGGAAGGCTGACGCAGGAGAACGGCGGGAAGCCAGGAGGCGGGGCTTGCAGTGAGCCAAGATCGCGCCACTACACTCCAGTCTGGGCGACAGAGTGAGACTCCGTCTCAAAAAAAATAAATAAAAATAAATAATTTTAAAAAAGATCCATAGTGTGCAAATCTTTTTTTCCTATTCTTTAGGTTGCCTTTTCTCTATATTGATTATTTGCTGTGCAGAAACTCTTCAGTTTGATGCAGTCCCACATATATATTTTTCCCTTTGTTGCTTGTGTTTTTGATGTCATATCCAAGAAATAATTGCCTAGAACAATGGCATTAAGCTTTTCCCTAGAATTTTCCTTAAGGAGTTTTATAGTTTCAGGCATATACCAGTAAATATTTAATGCATTTTGAGTTTATTTTTGTGTATGGCATAATATAAAGATCCAATTTCATTTTTGCATGTGGATATCCAGTTTTCCAAACACTGCTTGTTGAAAAGACTATCATTTTCCTCTTGTGTATTCACCTTTGCCAAAGATTAGTTGACTGAATATACATGAGTTTATTTCAAAACACACCAAACTGTACTAGCAAATATGTGGAGAAATTGGAACTTGTACACTATTGATAGGAATGTAAAATATTGCAGCACTATGGAAAACAGTACGGAACTTCCTCAAAGTTAAAAACAGAATTACCATAAGATCTAAGAATCCCTACTCTGGGAATATCCCAAAATATTAAAGTCAGTATTTCAAAAAGATATATGCCCTGTTCATTGAATCAGTCATAGTAGCCAAGATATGGAAACAACCTAAATGTCTATCAGTGGATGAATGAATAAAGAAAATGTGGTATATACATGAATAGTATATTATGAAGATTTAAAAAATAAAGACATCCTGCCATATGCAACAACATGTATGAACATGGAGGACACTATTCTAGAACAAATAATGCATGATTGCACTCACAGGAGAAAAATAATGCATGATTACACTCATACATTATATCTAAAATAGTCAAATTTATAGAAATAGAAGGTAGAGGCTGGGTACCGTGGCTGACGCCTGCAATCCTAGCACTTTGGGAGGCCAAGGCAGGCGGATCACCTGAGGTCGGGTGTTTGAGACCAGCCTGACCAATATGGAGAAACCCGGTCTCTACTAAAAATACAAAATTAGCTGGGCGTGGTGGCACATGCCTGTAATCCCATCTACTAGGGAGGGTGAGGCAGGAGAATCACTTGAACCTGGGAGGCGGAGGTTGTGGTGAGCCGAGATCGCACCATTGCACTCCAGCCTGGGCAACAAGAGCGAAACTACGTCTCAAAAAAAAAAAAAAAAAAAAAAAAAGAAAGAAAAAGAAAAAAAGAAATAGAAGGTAGAATGATGGTAGCCAAGGGCCAGGAGGAGCGGGAAATGGGGGTGTGTTAGCTCTGTTTTGCATTGCTATGAAGGAATACTTGAGACTGAATAATTTATAAAGATAAGAGGTTTAATTGTCTCACTGTTCTGCAGGCTATAGAGGAGGCATGGCATCAGTGTCTGCTTGGTTTCTGTTAGGGTGTCAGGGAATTTTTACTCATGATAGAAGGTGAAGCAGGAGCAGCCATGTCACATAGCAAGAGAGGGAGCAAGAGATGAGGAGGGAGGTCCCAGGCTCTTTGAACAACCAGCTCTCATGTGAAACAACAGAGCAAGAACTTACTCATTACCATGAGGCAGGCACCAAGCTGTTCTTGAGGGATCTGCTTCTTGACCAAA
Organism: Homo sapiens; assembly: GCF_000001405.40. Taxonomy (NCBI): domain Eukaryota; kingdom Metazoa; phylum Chordata; class Mammalia; order Primates; family Hominidae; genus Homo; species Homo sapiens. The sequence continues at coordinate 166,070,742 of NC_000003.12, forward strand.
ACACCCCACACTAGGTCCAGTTCCAACATCGGAGGTCATGTTTCAACGTAAGATTTGGAAAGGTGACAAACATCCAAACCATATCATTCTTTCCCAGACTCTCCAAATCTCATGTTCTTCTCACATTGCAAAATACAATTATCCCTTCCCAATAGTCCCTTAAAGTTTTCACTCCTTCCAGTATCAACTCAAAAATCCAAAGTCCAATTACATCTCTGTGACTCAAGACAAGTTTTTTCAACCTATAAGCCTGGAAAATAAAAATAAAAAAAAAAAACAAGTTATTTACTTCTAAGATACAATGGTGGTACAGGCATTGTGTAAATATTGCCATTTAAAAAGCAAGAAATCAACTAAAAGAAAGGGACTACAGGCCCCAAACAAGTCTGAAACCCAACAGGGAAGACATTAACATTTTAAAGCTCCAAAATCATCTTCCTTGACTCCATATCCTGCATCCAGGGCACACTGGTGAAAAGAGTGGATCCCCAAAGCCTCTGGTAGCCCCTCCCCATGTCTTTGCAGGGTGCACCCCTATGGTGCTCTCAAGGGTTGGAGTTTAATGCCTGTGGCTTTTTCAGGTGCAGGGCGTAAGCTTCCAGTGGGTCTACTATCCTCAGATCTAGAGAACAGCAGCCCACTTCTCACAGCTCTACTAGGCAGTGCCTTGGGTAGGGCTTTATGTGTGGTGTCCATCCCCACATTTCCCCTCAGCACTACCCTAGTAGAGTCTCTCTTTGGGCCTCTGCCCTTACACCAAGTTTCTACCTGTGCACCAGGTTTTCCAGTGCATCCTCTGAAATCTAGGGGGAAGCTGCCAGCCTTTTTAATGTTTGCATTCTGTGTGCCTGCAGAGTTAGCACATGTGGAAGCCACTAAGGCTTACAGCTTGTGTCCCCTAGTTGTACCTGGAGCTCTTTGAGCAGTGGCTGTAGCTGGAGCAGGTGGGATATGGGGAACACTCATGAGAAGGGGGACACTGCATTCCAGACTCCAGAATGGTAGATCTTCCAAAGAGTAAAAACATTTCAAAGCAGCAAAGTGTTCAAGAAGTGATATGGCTATTTCTAATAACCTATGCTCAGATGCAGGAGCAAATAATAAGTTGGAACTTATATTAAAAAGGAAAGTAGAGCATAAATGTTTGGAAAACTTGCAGCCTGGCCATGTGAAAGAAAAGAAAAGCCCATTTCCAGAGGAGGAATTCAAGCAGGCTGCAGAAATTTGCATAGCTAAAAAGGAGGCAGGTAACCACAGCCAAGACAATGGGAAAAAGGCCTATTCAGAGACCTAAGACACAGCTCTTCCCATTACAGACCCAGAGGCCTAGGAGGGCAGAATTATTTCCTGGGTCAGATGCAGGGCCCAGCTACCTTGTGCAGCCTTGGGACCCTGCTCCCTGCAACCTGGCTACTCCAGTTCTAGCTATGGCTCAAAGTGGCTCAGGTACAGCTCAAGCCACTGCTTCAGAGAATACAAGCCCTAAGCCTTGGTAACTCCATGTGATTTTAAACTTGCAGATATACAGTGTACAAGAGTTGAGGCTTGTGAGCCTCCACCTAGATTTTAGAGGATGTATGAAAAGCCTGGATGTCCAGGTAGAAGCCAGTTACAGGGGCAGAGCCCTTGAGGAAAACTTCTATTAGGCCAGTGCAGAGGTGATAAATGGAGTTGTAGCTCCCATACAGAGTCCCTACAGGGGCACTGCCTAGTGAAGCTGTGAGAATAAGGCCACGATTATCTAGATCTCAGAACGGTAGATCCAACAACAGCTTTCACCCTACACTTGGAAAAGCCATAGGCACTCAATACAAGCATGTGAGAGAAGCCTCAGAGACTGAACGCTGCAAACTCACAGGGATGGATCTGCCCAGGCATTGGGAGCCCAACCCTCACACCAGTGTGCCCTGGGTTTGGAACATGGAGTCACATGAGGTTATTTTGGAGCTCTTTTAATAACAGCTCTGCTGGGTTTTGAACTTGCGTAGGGCCTGTTGCCCCTTTCTTTTGGCTCATTTCTCTCTTTTTTAATGAGAATATTTACCCAATGGTGGTACCCTCATTGTATGTTGAAAGTAAATAACTTGTTTTGATTGTATAGGCTCATAGGCAGAAGGAATTCATCTCCAGATGTGATTTGGGATTTGGGACTTTGAGCTAATGCTGAAATGAGTTAAGTCTTCGGGGGACTATTGAGAAGGCATGATTGCATCTTGCAATGTGAGAAGGACATGAGATTTTGGGGGCCAGAGGTGGAATGACATGGTTTGGATGTCCCACCCAAATCCCATGTTAATTTGTAATCTTCAGTGTTGGAAGTGGGGCATGGTGGGAAGTTATTGGATCATAGGGTGAATTTCTCATGAGTGGTTTAACACCATCCCCTTGGTGCTGTCCTCACGATAGTGAGTGAATTCTTGCAAGATCTGGTTGTTTACAAGTGTGTGACACCTCATGGGTTCTATCTCTCTTGCTCCTACTCCCACCCTGTGAGACACCTCCTCACACCTTTGCCTTCTGCTATGAAAGGAAGCCTCCTGAGGCCTCCAGAGAAGCAGCAACCACTATGCTTTCTGTACAGCCTGTGAACCACGAGCCAATTACACTTATATTCCTTATAAGTTACTCAGTCTCAGGTGTTTCTTCATAGAAACGAGAAAATGGACTATTACACTTCATCGGCATGAACATCACTGCCCATATTTCTATCAGCATTTTTATCACAACCATCTTACCAGTATCTATGAAGTTCCAAGCTTTCCCTCATCTTCCTGTTTTCTTCTGAGCCCTCTAAAGTCTTCCAACATCTGCCTGTTACCCAGTTCCAAAACCTCTTCCATATCTTCAGGTACCTTTATAGCAATGCACCACTCCTCTGTACCAATTTTCTGTGTTAGTCCATTTTTACATTGCTATAAAGAAATACTTGAGACTAGGTAATTTATAAACAAAAGAGGTTTAACTGGCTTGTGGTTCTGCAGGCTGTACAGGAGGCATAGCGCTGGCATCTGCTTGCCTTCTGCTAAGGCCTCAGGAAGCTTTTACTAGTGGTGGAAGTTAAAGCAGGAGCAGGCATGTCACAAGGCAAAAGAGGGTTAAGAGATAGGGAGTATGAGGGAGTATGAGGCTGTGAGGGAAGAGGTTCCAGGCTTTTTGAAAAACCAGCTCTCTTGTGAACCAACAGAGCAAGAACTCATTCATTACCACACGGAGGACATTAAACCATTTATGAGGGAACCCGCCCTCCCACTAGGCCTAAATACCTCCCATTAAGCTTACTTCCAACACTGGAAGTCACATTTCAATATGAGATCTGGAGAAGGGCAGATATCCAAACCATATCAGAAGGAACTGATGTTCAGTGGGTATAAAGTTTTAGTTACACAAGATTAATTTCTTTATTTTAGAGATGTTTTGTACAAAATTGTGCATGTAGTTAACAATACTGTATGGTACACCTAAAAATTCACTAAGAGGGTAGATCTCATGTTAAGTGTTATTACTATAGAAAAAAATTATTAAATTATTAAAAAATTGTTTACAAACATAGCTGGAGCAAAATTGTGGAGAAAACTGTTTACCCCAATTTTCTCTACTTCATCTGTATCTTTAACAACACCCTAGCCAGTTTGACGGCCCCAACATCATCGCCATGTCTGAATCTGCTCTGTGAGATAGTGCATCCTACTTTAGACTCCTCAAATTTAACTTCTTCCAGGCCCTAATTCCTGCTATATGATGAATTAATTAATGAATAATGAGTTTATGTACTTCTCTTTCTGGATCAAATAGGCACTTTATCATTATTGTTTAAGAAGTACTTTATTTAAAATAATGCTAGTGATAAGAATTCCAGAATTACAAGTTACTTTTGAGGGTGTGAAGTTTCTTTTGTCATCTCTAATTTAATAGAGTAATTTGAGCCAGTGAATGCTATGAAACAAGTATTGATAACTCAGAGTAATAATATCAATTTTAATGGTAACTGCCCGCTGAATGATACACAGATTAAACAAAATATAAGGAAATAGAAATCAATGGATATCGATTAATTGATGTTTATTTTCTGTTTAATCTGCATCTCAGATTTGATAGAAAGCCCATTAAAGTAATTATATAATTAATGGGATATTTTAATGTAGACAAAACCTTTGGCAAATTGTTTTTTCTTAAAAATTAAAATATTACAGCCTTAAGCTGTAATTTGAAATGAGCACTAACGGATATTAGTGAAACTACTTCTACCTAAACAAAATTCTACTTTATATTGTGTGATTGAAAGTATTTATTTAGATAACCTTTGGTTAAATATAACAGATAATGGACTAAATTGTTAGGTATTAATTTAATATATAAGTTAAAATTTATCTCATTGATTCATTTAACCTTTTATTCTACTTTTGCCCTTCAGCATAAAATGAGAAATCTTCTTCTTCTTTCACATGACAGCCCTTCAAAGCCATCTACACTTTGATGTTGGGATCAATGATTCTTAGACAACTTGAACAGAAATACTGCATGTGTTGTCAAATAATTAAAGAAGTGGTTATTGTTGCATTGAATAGCAATGAACTTAAGCAGTAGGAAAATATTAAGACTGATGATGTCCCTATCTCACCCTCCAGGTCTTCTTTTCTCTTTGCTAAAGATATCTAATTCCAACAATCTTTATTTGTATGACAGAGTTTATAATTTTTTCACCATTCTACACCACCTGTTTTATTTCAGCATTTAGTACAATATTTTAGCAAACTCATTAAATTGTGCTATGCACACACACAATTATGGTAAGTCTCATACAAAGAGAATGATTCAGATTGTCTATTTTGAGGTCATATGAATATATTTGTCTTATGGTGAGATAATAATTAAGATAACTTTTTTACATGAACTATTTTCCAACATGGCTAAGGAATTGTAAAATTAATCAACTCATTATTTCATACTAGATGAAAGGTATTATATTTAAGTTTATATTCATAATTTTATTACTCATTTCATATTAGTTTTCTATTTAATAAAGATATTGGCTGTATTAATTCTTTCATTCCATTTGTTGGCTAATTCCAATATAGCATCTTCCAATTAGATTGACCTTACTTGAATAATCAACTTTTAAAAATGTAGTTACATAGAGAGTTCTAATTGCACCTATTTATTGTCAAATTTCTATTACCTAATTATTTTCACAAAGATAACATGCGAAATTGTGTCCAATGACCTACTGAACTCAAGATACAACAAAACTATTATTTTTCCAGAAATCTGAAAGAAATTTTTGAGACCATAAAACTAATCGTCCCTAAGGTGGAGAGAATTACAGCAATGAAAAGATTTTAGGGTTTCAGGGGGGTGGGGAAAAGACAAAAAGAGACATTATGTTAGATAAACTGATTTCCTCAAATTTTTTTCCAGACCTGACTGTAATTTAATGTGCTCTTGTTCTACTATGGTTCTTGATACTTTGCATGATTAACCTTACTTGATCCACTGTTTGACTCCTCAACCCCCAAATTATCCATTTTGTTTTCTTCCTACTTTTGGCTCTTTGATCATGCCCAAAAATTTAGTTTCATGATTTGTTTTTCATGATATTCTTATAGTAAAACTCTATCTTTTGGAGTGACTCCAGCCACAAAATTAGGTCTCCTTTCTTGATTCTCCTAAACTCTTCCTATGCTTGTTCTTGAGGAAATCTAACCCTAGGTAGTTGTAACTACATATGGTGCATTGGAATTCTTATTTTGATATATTTTGAAGGTAGTTTTAAAATACTAAATCAAATACATATCAACAGGTACAATATCAGAATTTTTGATATTTCAGGCAGTGATTAGTAAAGGTATCTTTTTTATTATTTTTCCATAGGTTATTGGGGTACAGGTGGTGTTGGTTACATGTGTAAATTCTTTAGTGGTAATTTGTGAGATTTTGGTGCACCCATCACCCGAGCAGTACACACTGCACTGCACCCTATTCGTAGTCTTTTATCTCTTGCCCCCTCCCACCCTTCCCCTCAAGTCCCCAAAGTCCATTGTATCATTCTTATGCCTTTGCGTCCTCAGAGCTTAGCTCCCACCTATCAGTGAGAACATACGATGTTTGGTTTTCCACTCCTGAGTTACTTCACTTAGAATAATAGTCTCCAGTCTCATCCAGGTTGCTGCAAATGCTGTTAATTCATTCCTTTTTATGGCTGAGAAGTAGTCCATCATATGTATATACCACAGTTTCTTTATCCACTCGTTGATTGATGGGCATTTGCGTTGGTTCCATGATTTTGCAATTGGACATTATGCTGCTATAAACATGTGTGTCCAAGTATCTTTTACATATAATGACTTCTTTTATCTACCCGGAGTATAGATATCTTTTAGCTGGAGTGATTATCCAAGTTAATGTGACTCCAAACCTCTGTCATCATTGCTTAATAAATTCTAGCCTCTTTCCTAGTCACTCCTGGCACAAACACCTATTTAGCTTCAGTATTATTTAAGAATTTTGAGACTGTTTGACTTAAGAAAATGCAGGGTGCTAATATCTGTAGTCTGTAAATTTTTGGGAGACAATAACTTCTATCTGATCTATTTCCAATCATTTCAACAAATGAAAACCATAATATAAAAGTTATTTAGTTGACGATCTTTTCTAAATTAGGGTATTGAAAATTATATATTATCGAGCCAATGAGACTATCACTACAAGCATTTGCAAGAACTTAGATAAGAAAACTGGGATGAAATTGTTTTGGAACACTTATTTAAAACAATATTTCTCAAATTTTAGAATTACCCAGAATGCATGTTTAAAATATAAAGAACTCAAACAAATTTACAAGAAAAAAACAACCCCATCAACAAGTGGGCGAAGGATATGAACAGACACTTCTAAAAAGGAGACATTTATGCAGCCAACAGACACATGAAAAAATGCTCATCATCACTGGCCATAAGAGAAATGCAAATCAAAACCACAATGAGATCCCATCTCACACCAGTTAGAATGGCAGTCATTAAAAAGTCAGGAAACAACAGGTGCTGGAGAGGATGTGGAGAAATAGGAACACTTTTACACTGTTGGTGGGACTGTAGACTAGTTCAACCATTGTGGAAGACAGTGTGGCAATTCCTCAAGGATCTAGAGCTAGAAATACCATTGGACCCAGCCATCCCATTACTGGGTATATACCCAAAGGATTATAAATCATGCTGCTATAAAGACACATGCACATGTATGTTTACTGTGGCACTATTCACAATAGCAAAGACTTGGAACCAACCCAAATGTCCATCAATGATAGACTGGATGAAGAAAATGTGGCACATATACACCTTGGAATACTATGCAGCCATAAAAAAGGATGAGTTCTTGTCCTTTGTAGGGACATGGATGAAGCTGGAAACCATCATTCTGAGCAAACTGTCGCACGGACAGAAAACCAAACACTGCATGTTCTCACTCGTAGGTGGGAACTGAACCATGAGAACCCTTGGACACAGGAATGGGAACATCACACACCAGGGCCTGTCATGGGGTTGGGGGGAGCAGGGAGGGATAGCATTAGGAGATATACCTAATGTAAATGACAAGTTAATGGGTGCAGCACACCAACATGGCACATGTATACATGTGTAACAAACCTGCCCATTGTGCACATGTGCTCTAGAACTTAAAGTTTAATTTAAAAAAGTTTTTTTTAAAAAAGAAATGCTATGGCAGCCACAAAACGGAGATGTGGCAGAACAGTGAGCTGATGTGGAGCTATTGCAAACCAAGCGAATAAAAGAAATAACCTGTGAATTCTAGCCTCTAGCTGTGGAATTTTGACCTAAATAGTACTGAGGAAGAAGATAGCCAAGCATGGTGTACTATGCAGTGCTTGGAACCTGGAGGTAAGGCTCCATGTGAGCAGGTGGATTCAGTTTACTGATAATCAGATGGGATGCGTCATATCCAGGAAATGACCCACAATCCAAAAACAACAGGATTTCCAGATAGATGATCCATTTGGAATGCTATAAATGAAATGCTGCCTCACACTACATGAAAACATGTGAAAAAAAGAAACAAATGGATAAAAGAAGTCAATAAAAAAATAGAACTATGAAAGAATTATAAGGAGAGGCTAATACTTTTTATCTTACACAGACTTCTATATTACTGGATTACTTTCTAATAGTAAGCATATATCAGATTTAATTAAAAGTTCAAATAATTTAAAAATAAAATTGTGTGAAAAATCAAAATAAATAAATAAATAAATTGGTCCCTCAAATGAAAATTATTAAAAGATAATCTCAATGAATAAGACTCATTAATCAGATTTAATAGTTTCCAAGTGATAACTGATTGCTGTTTATCCAAATTTGTGTTCCTGTGATTCAGTATTATTATACATAAGAAGATGAACATGTATAAAGAAATTAGAGTTGAATAAAGATCATTCAATTTATAAAGAACTAGAGGGAAAAAAGTCTATAAAAGAAGACAAGTATATTGGTAGAGAGTTTTAGTCTCAATTTTAAAAATTAGGTAAGTATATACTCTGCGGTCCCAAATAAATACTTTGGACACAGACTGAAATTAAGGCATAAAAGTTGGTTACTTTAGTTGATTAAGGGATAAAAAAGCTGAATGTGAAGGGATATGTAAAAAATATATTTATATGAGATATTTTGATTATTTTGTTAAATAGAAAGTGTAACTCCTAAACAATACAACATTGTCATTTTAGAGAAAGGAATAACCATGAATTGAAATGAGAAGCCTTTAGAGTTAGAATCTTGAGAATGTATCTTGTTCAACATTATGTTTTGTGTTGGAATAGCCATTTCATTATATTGCTGAAATTTTTCAAGGATCTTCTGAATACTTTCCATAAAAAGGATATAACGATCTTTTAAAGAAAATTGGAAAAGGGGTAAATTGGCTTTTAGAAAGTTAATATTACATTTATTCTATGTCCTTTTATATTTCACATTAATAATTTTTGTTACATTAGTAGTATTCTGCACAATGCTTTAAAAAATTGTCTTCCTATATATTTCCTTTGAAGAAAGTTTTGTACAAGAAAAATTTATATATAATGCCAATCTTAGCTCTTTTCACCTTAGATTTTTCTCATTATTATAACATTTTCCATATTGTTTATATCAATTACACCCTATCTATTCATTCTGTAACGCATTAACAATATTTTCTTGACTTATATGGTCCAAGTGGAGATTTTTTATTGTTAAATATTATTTTTAATTGTCAATATGTTTTGTACTTAGCTGGCAATTCTAATTTATATGTTACTTGTTTTATTTCATTACATTGTTATATTTATATTATCTTCACATTTATATTATTTTGTTATAATTTAATTATACTTCTAAAAGTGTATTATATTTACTTCATAACATTTTTATAATAAAAACTCTCACAAATATAGCAAACTCAAAAGAATTTTGAAGTGAACATCTATATACCCACCATCTACATTCTATCATTAATATGCCCGTCTATCAGTTCATCTTATTTTTGGATGCATTTTAAGATAAACTGCAGACATCAGCAAATTTTCCTCTAAATACTAAAGCATTCGTGTTATTAATTAGAACTCAACATTTCCTTTTCTTCTTTTCAAATAATATAGAATCCATAAATATTAAGTGCATATTATCTAACTTTTGGCAAATGATTTTACCTGTATAACCAAATCCTCTATTCATATATAAAATATTACCATTATCTGATAAAGCAAATTTATATTCCTTTCTAATCAATCCCAGTTCCAACCTTCCAGTGGCAGCCACTGTTCTGATATTTTTACCCATTCTAAAACTTTATATTCATGAAATAATACAATGTGTATCCTTTTGAATAAGGCTTTTTATCCATGTCATCGTTTGTTGCATTTTAATTACACTCTATGACTTTCACTATGATAATAAATACATAGAAATTTCATTGAAATTCATTATATTCCATTACCAAGACACTGCATATTAAAAAAAAAATGTTTAAAACTGTTTCAAAACAAGATATGCTAAATTATGCTGGTTACAAAAATAATTTGGGGAATAATATTATTTCATTAAAAAATATGTACATTTTTCACAATTTGAATTTAAACTCATGTGTTGATGAAATTTAATTTTCCAAAGTTTTTTTTATTGTGCAGAATCTTATCAATAATATATTGTAAAATCAATCTTACTTTTTCTCCAAAGCTAAAAGCTTTTAATAATAATGGCAGTATTAAGGTTTATGAGTATTTTGAGAGTTAATTGAAATATCATGAAATAGATTTTTCATTAGCATAAATGTGGTTATAGAAGAGATTTTAAAGTTCCATTGATTGTCTTAATGACATTTTAGAGAGTTTCAACACATTAACTATATAAAATAGTGGTAGCATAGTAAATATTTTTTAAAATATATTATTTGATAAGAATTATGAGCATTGCAGGATATTTTAAGATAAAACTATGGTATGAAGGGTTATAGACAGATAACGCTAATCACGCATACTGTAGATATATAAAATAAGCTTTGTTGGGGAAAAACATACATGAAATTTATGTAGAAGAATATCACATTCTCAAAAAGTTATTCCTGAGCTCAAAGCTAGGCTAATATAGATGAACGGCTCCCACTATGGCCAACTTCTCGGTAGAGAAGTTCCCACTCCATTATACATGATTTGTATAATATATAATGATTTAGATCAAAAGGTAGGGACAGTTATGCAAACATGTAAAAATAGTTCTCTGGCTTAAAAAGGTGGACTGATAGAAGGTGGCAAGTCCCATGATCAGTGGCTGATATCATTCTGTTCTTCCATGGGGCCAGCTCTGACCTGCTAGTCAGCTCTTTACTAGTCTACCAAAAGAGGAGACAAAATGAGCCTCCAGGACAATCCAGAACCCTCTCTCCTTAGTGTGAACGTCAGTTTTTACAGGATTATTACATGTCTCCCCTTCGATTCTGTGTCATTTCAGGCCATAGAGGTATTTGAAATATTTCCTGGAATGTGAGAATCAATAAGATCTCATGCAGGTGGATCAGATGAGAAGGGACATAGACAACATTGCAAAAAAGTAATTTGATGAGCTTCCACCTGAGAAAACCATAGAAAGTTGATTGGAGCTTCTTGTTCCCATCGCTAAGAAAACAAGAGAACTATTGCCTACCTTCCTCTGCTTTCCTAATTTTTTTTCAGGATTGGATGTCATGCCCTCTCATGCATGAGCAAGACTGCCCCTTTTCCTTTTCTGGAGTAATGAGTTCCATGTAAATCGAATTATTATCATTTTTTCACCATGCATAACATCTAAAGGCAGAGTATGGTGGCTGTAGAATCACCTAAGGCAAAGTTTATATTTTTGTTGATGTTTATCCTAGTGTCCACCATCTGAGCAATATTAGCTACCTATCTACTGAAGTTAAAACAGAGGCACTAAAAAGTTTCTTTAGTACTTTCTATTTGCTTTCACAATATCTGTTTCCTTCCACTCTTGGGTGCATAAAAAATTAGCTAAGCATGTATGTTCATAGGTATCTTTAAATGGCTAACTAAAATGTGACAAGTGGTCCTATAGAGGTGAATATTGGGAAGGTTGGCAGAGTTGGCAATTACATAAGTCAGAAAAAAATTAGGTTAGTCATTTCAGTCCTTTTGGTGGTTCCATTATCATGACGGGTTACAACATGGCTTTAATAATCTATGGAGGACATGATGGGTAACATGCTTTACTGGCTTTCTAAGTCTAATATTTTTTCTTTAGCCATATTACTTCATATAGGCATTTGCAAGTACAATATGAAGACCAAATTCATGAATATATTCTTCCATGTGCATCCAAAGGAAAGAAACCAAGTACTGTGCCATATCAGCTTGGGTAGACCAATAATCTTATGCAGACAAGTGATTAGTAAAGGTATCCCCCAACACCTCCAGAAACAAAACTGAAAAAGTAGTAAATGATATATATTTTTTTAGTCACTTTCAAGGAGGTATGCTCTATAGCAGCAGTCCCCAACCTTATTGGCACCAGGGACAGGTTTTGTGGAAGAAAATTTTTCCACGGACAGGGTGGGACAGGGTTTTGGGATGAACTGTTAAACCTCAGATTATCACACATTAGTTAGATTCTCATAAGGACTGTACAACCTAGATCCCTCAAGTGCACAGTTCCCAATAGGGTTTGTGCTCCTATGAGGATCTAGTGCTGCCACTGAATTGACAGAAGGCAGAGCTCAGGTGGTAATGCTCATTCACAGGCTACTCACCTCCTGTTGTGCAGCCCAGTTCCTAACAGGCCAAAGGCCAGTATTGTTCAGTGGCCCGGAGGTTAGGGACCCCTGCTCTATAGCCGTGGTTCTCAACTGGGAGTTATTTTGCCTGTAAGGGATAGGTGGCAATGTCTGGAAACATTGTTGATAGTCACAATTGGCAATGAAAAGGGATGTTATTGGCACCTCATAAGTAGAGGCCAGGGATGGTACTAAACATTCTACAATGCCCATAATAGTCCCCCAATGAAACAATTATTTGTTCCAAAATATCAACGGTGCTGACTCAAGAAATCTTACACTGTAATTATGAATACTATAAGAAAAAATACACTTAATAGATTGAGACAGCAGCAATTTATCGTCATTATGATGGATAGCTATAATATTCTCTTTGCTTTATCACAGTCCAGAGGTGGGCTGTTTAAAGTCAAGTACGCTATCAATTTAAGTGTCAAGTATTATAAGCAATGCCTTATTAAGTCTTTTTTAAATATTATTATTACTATAGAAAAGCCTTTCTTGTGTCTAACTGGAAGCAGTTACTGGTTTACGGTCTTGGGTGCATGTTCATCTTTAATTGGAGCTATTATTTCAATTTAACAATAGAACTATCTGAATCTTGTCCACTTAGTTTTGCAAGGACCTACTGCAGAATGAGAATGATTGAGTCATGACTTTTCTTTCAATAAGTTGATTTCTCTTCTATTATGGTGCAGTAACAGGACAGCTGTAACTGCTCAGAAACAATCCACAGATTCAGGAATCTCACAAAACACAAAATAGATTAAATACAAAGAAAACCATGTCTAGTCACACTTTGCTCAAACTTCTAAAAACTATAAATAATAGAAATCTCAAAAATAACCCAAGATAAAAAGTCATATTAAGTATAGAATATCAAGACAAAGAGCAGACTAATCAGAAACAATGGAAGCCAAAATAAAATAGCATAAAGTGCTGAAAGAAAAAATAAAAACAAAAACTATCAATGAAGAATACTCTAGTCAGCGAACATATACTTAAAAATTAAAGTGAGAGAAGACATTTTGAGATAAATGAAATGTTATGCTAATGACAAAATATGAACTTCAAATGTAAGGACACACATGAGTTGAAAATGAGAAGATGTAAAGATAAAATGCTTAACACAAGTTATAAAAAAAGCTAGAGTGGCTGTATTAATATCAGATAATGTAGAGTTTGAGACAAGGAATATGTTTAAAGATAAAGAGGAACATACTATGTTTATAAAATGATCAATACATCAAAAAGGCATAAGAAGCCTAAATATGTATGGATTTAATAACAGAGTTTCAAAATATACATCGCACCAATGATTAAAATTAAGAGAAATAGAAACTTCAGACATTTTAGTAGAAACGTGAACACTATTAATCTATTTAACCCAGCTGACATTACAGAGTTCTTCACCTGACATTCAAATTATACAATTTTTTTTCAAATTCACCTGGAACATTTTCCAAGATACATCATATGCTGGGCCACTGAACTTTTTCATCAAATTTCAACTTATTGAAATCATGCAGAGTATGTTTCTTTACCACAATCAATGGAATTTTGTAAACTATAACAACGAGGTATCTAGAAAATCTCCAAATAATTAAGCAACAGACCTTTAATTAATTCATGGATCATAGAAGAAAATACAAAGGAAATTCTTCAGAACTAAAATTTTCTAAAACCAAAATATGCTGAATTTTGTGGGAGCCTCTAAAGTATTTACATTTGTTTCTTCATACACTTATATTAGGAAAAAATACCACTCTTTTCTCAAATAAAGACATCAGTTTACAAGATTGCCTGACTACCCATGAGCATTTCACATTGTACTTGAGTTTATCCATTATTTTGATGATATATTACTGATGAATTCAGAATAGTAGGGTTATATACTATTCCTTGTTGGATGAAGGCAAATTGGTTTCAGTTTTCATCACAGAATAATACAAGAAACAAAAGATTACCAATATCCATGGCTACTTGCCAAAAGCCAGTCATGGTAGTAATGCTATTTTGTTGTCCAATTGCAAGGGAACTGTGGAGGCTACTCTCTTGTTTAAACTTTGTAGTCCACAATGGGATTTTTACTGGTCAGGCAGAGCTCTGAAAACTGGAAACAGAATTGCACATAGTCATATAGATTCTTCCTATAATACACTTTATGTGTGAAGATCTATATTTTCCTGTTAGAGCTGCTGTACGAAAGTACAACAGGTGGTCGCTTAAATTTAACAGAAATGTATTGTCTCACAATTGTGAAGGCTAGAAGACAAACATTCAGGTGCTGGCAGGGTTGGTTCCTTCTGAAGGCTGTGAGAAAGCATCTGTTTCAGCCTATTGTCTAGCTACTTGTGGTTGCTGGTAATCTTTGGCATCCCTTGGCTTATGGAAGCACCACAAATTCATCTTCACATGATATTCTTCTATGTTTGTAACTATTAATATGCCAAATTTCTCCCTTTTAAAAGGACATTGATTATATTAGATTAGGGCCCATCCTGATGATATCATTTCAACTTTATTACTTCTGTAAAGATCCCATTTCCAGATAGAGTTACATTCTGAGTCACTGCGGTTTAGGACTTCAAAATATAAGTTTGGGTGAGACACAATTCAAGCCATAACAAGACTTATTACTTTTTTTTCTTCTGGGATGAGACATTATTAGAATTGTGCAATTTTAAAAGAATTTATGAGTATAGATAATTTGATATCATGAGTTTTAACTTTCATCGTAGCCAAAAGCAGAGACTAATGCCAATAGCCAAGCAACATGTCTATGCAATTCATCACTTAGAACATTATACAATTTTACAGCTTAACAGAAAAAAAAAAAGAAGGATAAGCAAGATACAAAAATAACTGAAGAGAAATGTTAGCTCCAAAATCTAGCTTGTTCTGGAATGTTTAAAGCACCTCCCAGGAAAAGAGAAGTGATATGTTCTCTGACTTTGTTCTTGTTCTTGTCCCTGACTTGTTTATCATGTTAATTCTTCAAAGTCCAGAAATTGACTTTTGTAATATTTGCTAGACAGAACAGACAAGCCCATTCTGGGTTTTTGCATTGTATCATCTGTTTGGTTGTGCTTTTCTTCTACATCTCTGTGAGTTCTGCTGGTCCATTTGATTTTATCAGTCCCCTAACTGTCATCCATAAAGCACATGTATTCTTGCAGGAATTTTCTGAGCTCCAACAATCTGGCCTTCTTTCCTCTGCTACTGGTCTTACTAACTAGCGTTTTACTTTGGTAGCAAACCTACCTTTCTGTCAAAGATCTATGTGTTTTGGGAACATTGGTTGCTAAAAGTTTCCTCCACTCTTTCAAATTGCCTCTTGTTTTGGGGTTTTGGTGACTGAGAGACTACTGCTGCTGCCTCACCACTGTCAGAGCCTCATGCAAACCTCCCTGAGACTTTGATTAGTCCTACACTAGGGTAACATGTGGCTGAGTTTCTTTGTAGCTAGCAGCCATCACATCTGCATTGTCCTCTATAATGTTTGGAACATATCTCAGCAGCTCTTCTGGAAGTCTCTGAGCTGGGGTAATTTGTAGCTCTCACTTGGGAGCTAGCAGAAACTTAGGCATCAGCATTCATATGACCTTCTACTGATCATAGAATGGATGATTTCCACTATGGTGTGATGTGTAGAAGTCAGATGGACAATATTTTCAAAGAGTTACTTTGTCACTTTAAATGGCCTGCGGAATCAGGGTAAGAAATAAAAATAAAGTACATTGGAAATGTTAAGAGAATTTAGAACATTTGGAAATGCACATTTTCTTTGTGTAATTCATGGTCCTTCATGTTACATAAGCATATTCATCAATTAACTAAGGCATGTATTATAAATGAATCTACTAGTCAGATTTTCTGGATATCCTTTTATATTTTTCAAATCTAATCCTTTTTTATCATTTGAAGTACGTTTCAATGTTGTTTATTTACCTACTTAAAAAGATAAGTCAAACCATTTTATCTTTAGCCACTTAGTGGTAGCAGCAGTGCTTCTTTATTTTTGAAAAATGGTCAAATATTACAACAAATACAAAGAATTCGTATGTGAAGAAATAAAACAATTCCTGGAAAACAGCTTACAGTTAGAGTAAGTCTGTGTAATATAAAAGTTCTAAATTAAACATGACATCTTGCTATTGGCTTATGTGTCTCCTCCTGTAATTACAAATTTATATTCTAATGACCATAAAATAAAATCTGAAGTTATGCACTAGCAATGGCCTCTCGGGAATCCTTCTCTTCCAATCCTAAGTAGTTATTTTTTATAAGTCTTAAATTGTGTTTTTAACTACTCTGATCTAAAAAATCTTGCACCGGATTTTTATTAAATTATAACTGGTGGTACATAATGAAAGGCATTCTCCCATTCACCTTCTCCTGTTTTCATATTCATGACTATCTTCTACTTGCTCATATATTTATGTCTCAGTGTCCTTTGTAACTCTCGCGTGCTTCATGAATCATCTGCACTAGTTCTCTTGTGGATAATGTGTTATGTAAAATTTCTTTCAAGTAGTCAGGCCTCTCCCCAGGTGAGGCTATTTTTTTTTTTCTTCTGGGAAAAGGAGAAATAATATACTTTATTTGTTTGGTGACTGATTTTTATTTTACCTCTATATATAGCTCTAGCCCTGACTCAACATTTTACTTTCTTGAATCACATCTAGAAATGTGAATAGCATAATAAAATAGTTTTTTAGAACCAATTAAATATTTCCACATATTTGGGAGACTTTTAATATTTTCATCTCACTGACATATAGAGAATTTTTTTTAATTTTATGCATAATTTGACACTCCAAAAACCCCTTACAAATAAATTATATATTGTTTTATGCTCACTTTTAAAATGTGTTTGATTTTATTTTATTTTCCAAGTTTATCTGCTACTGACCTCTTAATCATTTGCATATAATTATCCTTGGCTTGGTTATTCAAACCATCCAGTAGATTACAAAAACATTTACAGAAAATAATAAAATAATACCAAATACCAAATCAAAAGAATCTCTGCAATTATTTTATTATAATAAATGAATTGAATTGAAAGTATTTACTGTGCTTACTAAACTTCTTGTGCACGTTCTATTATTTCCTATTCCTTTTGTTACTATTGTTCATGTTTTTTATTTTCCAATCATGTATTGAACATTCCGAAATGTCAATTAAAATTATGTACATTTGTTCTTGTTTTTTATGAGTTGGGAACTATGATTCAGATGATGTCAAAAATAATGTCAAGTCTATTGGACGTAATTCGGGAGATTAGGTTTATTGAAAATATGGCTTGAGGCTATTTTAGTTTTTGAAGACATACAGAATCTTGATTTGGCTCTGTACAGGAGGGAGTTTTGGAAGCAAACACTGAGAACTGATCACCCAGGTACCTGGAGGTAAACCCTACCTCAGTCCCTGCTAAAGAAAGGGATAGGCTTCTAAGTCTTTTATTCAATATCAGGTGTTACTGTGGTCATTATTTAATAAATCACACTCTGTTATAGAAAATCCTGTGAGAAGCTAAACACCTGCTTTTGGTGCTAATTTTTTGAATACATGGCCAAATGAGATAAAAGAGAGGCCTAGCATTAGAAAGAGCTAATGCATTTAGTTGAAGTTGAAATATCTGCTCACCTGTGTACTGCTGCATTAAATTCAAAGTTGCATTTAATGGATTAGTAGTTCCCATTTTTATCTGTATAAAGAATGAACAATTTTGATGTCTTTTATGGTAGGTAAAATAAAAGTGTAATGAAGGATTGTACAATGGCTTATTATTTCTAAATATATTCATATGGGGCTTTTGAAAGTTTGAAGTCAGCGCTGAAGACCTTGTCAATGCTTTGATTTTCTTAGAGATATATGAAACTCAAACAGTAGTAACAATTAGCTTTAGATTGAGGGACTTTGGACTAAAAAAAAAAAAAGTAAACCTTGATAATTTCAAGTTATTGTATGTTTGTGTGTGTGTTCAGTCTTCAAAAAGAAAAAATATTTTAAATATTTGGGTATTACATGAACCTGTTCAGTGCTAATTTCAATGCATGATTAATTTCTCTTTTCTTAAATCTAAACTGTGGCATAAATTCATTTAAAAAATACCTGATCACTGTTTATTATGGTAGTTAAAATGCATCATGTAATCTGTCCTTCAGTAGAGACACAAGAGGCACAATTATCATTATGGATTCTTTACTCACTGCCACCTATCATGAAAATCCATTAATTATGCATTTCATTATTGACTCATTAATGACAATTGACCATAGGTTTTGAATGATTCATAAATACTTGTATCAACAGAAATATCTGTGAAAAATGAATTCTACCTGTATTATGACCCTTAACCCATAAAAGTATACTTACAATGAATATGTGGTAAACAAGGGCCATTAGACATTTAAAAATTGCATAAAGAAGTGAATTGATCACACATTTAATTCTGATTTACTGAATGAATGGAGATCTGCTACTTTGTGAACAAAATACATGGCTTCATTTAAAAATTGTTCTCTTTTTGCTTTCTTTTTCCACTCTGGTTCCTGCATATTATATCAAAAAAGATTAGGTTCATGCCTTTCAGCATACTGTAGTCATCCCCATGCCTCTTTCTTAGACACAGACACAAACAGATATAATACATGCTCGGAAAAAAAATGAGATGTGTTCTATCAAAGACGACTAGGAGAAGGAAGCCCAGACATATAAATGTATTATGCATGAATGTGTCCCTCTCTAATGCATGAGTAAGAGAGAAATATTAAGTTATGCACATTGTTAGAAAATGCATTGAATTGATGTTATTTATAGATTGTAGGGAACTAACACGTTGATTATGGAAGAAAAAAATACTGGCCTAGCTTTATCATTTCAAACATAATACCTTGTATCCATGTGTAAACATTATATGTCATGAAAATAATTAAATATATTAGTAAGTCAGATTATTTTGGATACAAATTTTGCTTACTTACAGTACTCAATTAGGTATTTACAAGAAAAAGTTGCTGCTATTCACATAAATAGAATGTAAATAATGGATTCTTATTCTGACTAAATTTTGCTCTCTGTATAAATCCATTTCCACACTGCTATAAAGAACTACCTGAGACTGAGGTGTTAATAAAGAAAAGAGGTTCAATGGACTCACAGTTCTTCATGGCTGGGAGGCCTCAGGAAACTTACAATCATGGAGGAAGGTAAAGGGGAAGCGAGACATGTCTCACGTGATGGCAGGAAAGGGAGAGTGAAGGGGGAAGTGCCACACTTTTAAACCATTAGATATCATGAGAACTGACTCACTATCATGAGAACAGCATGGGGGCAATCCATCCCCATGATCAAATCACCTGTCTCCAGATCCCTCCTCTGACATGTGGGTATTATAATTTGACATGCAATTTGGGTAGGGACACTGAACCAAACCATATCACTCCACTCCTGGCCCCTCCCTAATCTCCTGTCTGTCTCACATTGCAAAATCAATCATGCCATCCCAACAGGACCCCCACCAAAGTCTTAACTCATTTTAGCATTAACTCAAAAGTCCAAGTCCAAAGTCTTATCTGAGACAAGGCAAGTCCCTTCAGCCTATGAGCCTATAAAAAAAATTAAAAGTTAGTACTTCCAAGATATAATGGGGTATAGGCATTGGGTAAACGCTCCTGCTCCAAATGGGAGCAACTGGACAAACCAAAGAGGCTACAGGCCCCATGCAAGTCTGAAATCCAGCAAGGCAGTCATTAAATCTTAATGTGCCAAAATAATCTCCTTTGACCCCATGTCTCACATCCACGGCACACTGATGCAAGAGGAGGGCTCTGAGGCCCTTGGGCCGCTCCACCCCTATGGTCTACAAGGTACAGCCCCCAGGGCTGCTTTCACTGGCTTGCATTGAGTGCCTGTGCCTTTTCCAGGTGCAAGCTATAAGTGTATCTACCATTCTGGGGTCTGGAGTACAGTGATCCTCTTATGGCTCTACTAGGCAGTATCCCATTGGGAACCGTGTGGGGGTTCCAATCCCACATTTCCCTTCTGTACTGCCCTAGGAGAGGTTCTCCTTGAGGGGTCTGCCCCTGAAGCAGACATCTGCCTGGACATCCAGGAGTTTCCATACATCCTCTGAAATCTAGGTGGAGGTTCCCGAACCTCAATTCTTGCCTTTTGTGTACATGCAGGCCCAACACCTCATGGAAGCTGCCAGGGCTTGGGGTTTGCACCCTCTGAAGCCACTGCCCAAGCTGTATCTTGACCCCTTTTAGCCACAGCTATAGCTGGAGCAGCTGGGATGCAAGATGCCATATTCCAAGGCTGCACAAAACAGCAGGGCCCTGGGCCTGGCCCATGAATTCATTTTTCAACCCTAGGCCTCTGGACCTGTGATGGAAGGGGCTGCTGTGAAGATCTCTAAAATACCCTGGAGACACTTTCCCCATTGTCTTGGCAATTAACATTCAACTCCTCATTAGTTATGCAAATTTCTGCAGCTTGAATTTCTCCCTGGAAAATTGATTTTTCTATTCTACCTCATGGTCAGATTGCAAATTTTTTTAACTTTTATGCTCTGGTTTCCTTTTAAATATAAGTTCCAATTTAAGAACATCTCTTTCTTCACACATATGAGCTTACACTTTTAGGAACAACCAGATTATATCTTAACTACTTTGCTGCTTATAAATTTCTTCTGCCAGATACACTAAATCATCTCTCTCAAGTTCAAATTTCTGCAGATCTCTAGGGCAGGGGCAAAAGGCTGCCAGCCTCTTTGTTAAAGCAAGAAAGAGTGACCTTTGCTCCAGTTCCCAATATGTTCTTCATCTCCATCTGAGACCACCTCAGCCTGGACTTCATTGTCCAAAACATTCAAATCATTATCAGCATTCTGGCTAAAACCATTCAACAGGTCTCTAGGTAGTTCCAAACTTTCCCACATTTTCCTGTCTTCTTTTGAGCCCTCCAAACTGTTTCAACTTCTGCCTGTTACCCAGTTCCAAAGTTGCTTCCACATTTTCAGGTTATCTTTCAGCAGTACCCCACTCTCTGCTGTGTCAATTTACTGTATTAGTTTGTTCTCACACTGCTATAAAGATACAACCTGATACTGGGTCATTTATAAAGGAAAGGGGTTTAATTGACTTACTTTGTGGAGACACAGAGCTAAATTATATCACTTTCCATATAAATGAATCTTGCATGATTTATTTTCCAACATTTTCACATAAGAATACTGCCTTTTCTTTTTGGTAATAAGCATATTAAGGAAAATAAGGTATTTTAAAAGCTGTCAGAGAAAGGGAATTCCTATTGAGGAAAGATATATTTTTATTTCAAGCCATCCCAGGATTTGGGTATATGAAAGCAAACATTCTAGAAGCAATTGTAAGGAAAGGAGAAGTAGTAGAAATAATGGGATATATGAGGAATCTGAGTAGAATGAAGAAGTATGCCTAGAATCTATTCAGCAGAATATAAACTTGCTACAAAAAATGGCTTATGCAACAGTATCAATAAATTCTCATAAAATTGTGGTGTGCAGACCAGCCACATCAGCTCTGGACACTTGTTAGAAATATAGAATCTTGGGCCTCATTCCCAAACTTACAGAAATAGAAGCTCTGATGTGTCCAGGAATCTGTGTTTTAATAAGCTCTCAAGAAGATTCATATATATATATATATATATATATATATATTCATATATATATATATATATACATACACACTAAGTTTTTAGAAGTATTGTATAAGATTCTAAACATATCAAGGTTATTCATCATTTTCTATCCAACACCTAGAAGAGTCCCTCCCAAAAGAAAGAACATAAGGATTTATAAGTTTCATTGTATAGTTCTTTCAACTCATTGGCTAAATTTATAGCTAGGTATTTTATTTATTTAATACTGTCTTAAATGGAATTGTTTTCTTGATTTCTTACTCAATTAGGTCAATATTTGCGTGTAAAAATGCCACTGAGTTTTGTAGATTATTTTGGTATTATTCAACTTTATTGTATTTGTATATTAATTCACAGTTTCTTAAACAGAATTTTTGAGTTTTGTTACATATGGGATCATGACATTTGCAAATAGAGATAATTATACATTTTTATTTCCAATTTGGATTTCTTTTAGTTATTTATTTTTCTGGTCTGATTGCTCTTGCTAATATTTCTGGTACTATATTGAATAGATGTGGCCAGAGTGGGCATCTTTGCCTTGTACCAAATCTTAGTGGAAAGGTTTTCATTTTTTTCTCCATTGATTATAATGTTAGTTGTGTTTTTATCATAAATGGCCTTTATTATCCTTAGTAACTTTCTATATTGAAATGGTTGATAGTTTTTGTCAAGGAAGTTTGTTAAACTGAGAAAGACAAAAATAAATGGAAAAATGTTTTATTTTCATGGATTGAAGGAATTAATATTGTTAAAATATCTATGTTACCCAAACAATATACAGATTCAATATAGCTATTATGAAAATTTAAATAGTGTTCATCACAAAAATGGAAAAAAATACTAAAATTCATAAGGAACCATAAAGAAACCCAGATTGCCAAAACAATTCTGAGAAAAAAAAAGTTGGAAACATCACACTTTGTGATTTAAAATTATATTACAAAGTTATGGTAATCAAAACCATATTATACTGGCACAAAAAGAGACATGTAGACAAGTGGAAAAAAAATAGAGAGCCCAGAAATGAATTCAAATAAGCCTAGGAATTAGTGAGCTTAAAAAGAGGCTACAGAAAATACACAGTCAGAGGAGACAAGAGACAAAAAGAATGAAAAAGAATAAAGTATGTCTACAAGATTTATAAACTATCCTCAAAAAAGAAAATCTAACAGTTATTGGCCTTATAAAGGAGGCAGAGGGAGAGATTGGGGGCAGAAAATTTATTCAAAGTAATAATAACAGAGAAATTCCCAAACCTAGAGAAATATATCAATATCAAATACAAGAAGGGTATAGAACACCTTGCAGATTTAAAAGAAAGAAGGCTACTTCAAGACATTTAATCATCAGTCTTCCAGAGGTCAAGGATAAAGAAAGGATCCTAAAAGCAGCAAAAGAAAAACACCACCACCACCACCACCACCACCACCACCAACAACAACAACATAAAAACAACATACAAGACAGCTTCAATATGTCAGGCAGCAGGCTTTTCAGTAGAAATCTTACAGGCCAGGAGAGAGTGGCATAAAATTTTTAATGTTGAGGGAAAAAAATTCTTGCCCTAGAATAGTATATCTGTTGAAAATATCTTCCAAACATAAAGGAGAAATATAGACTTTCCCAGACAAGCAAAAGCTGAGGGATTTCATTAATACCAGATCTGTCTTACAGAAAATGATAAAGGAAGCTTTTTAATCTGAAAGAAAAGGACTAAGAAATCATCGGAAGGAGCAAATCATTGGTAACAGTAAGTACCCCTTAAAAATAATAACACTTTAATTGTGGTGTGTAAACTACTCATATCAGGAGTAGAAAGACTACATTTTGAACCAATAAAAAATAATAACTACAACAACTTTTCAAGACATAGACAGTATAATAACATACAAACAGAAACAAGAAAAAATGCACATGTATACCTGAACCTAAAATAAAAGATTAAAAAAATAAGAAGTGAGGGAATGAAGTTAAAGTACACAGTTTTAATTAGATTTTTCTTTGCTTGTTAGTTTGTTTATGCAACAAGTGTTAAGTTGTCATTAGTTTAAAATAATGGGTCATAGATATTATTTACAAGCCATGTGGTAATGTCAAATTAAAGAATATGAGACAAATTTACAAAAAAAAGAAAAGCAAGAAATTAAAACACACCAGAGAAAATCATCTTCACTACAAGAAAGACAGAAAGGAAAGAAGAAAGGGAAGACAACAAAGTAATCAGAAAAATAATAACAAAAAGGCAGAAATAAGAGGTCTCTACTCATCAATAAAAACACTGAATTTAAATATACTAAATTCTCCAATCAAGAGAAATAAAGTGGATGAATAAATTTTTTTAAAAAGACCCAATTATACATTGTTTATAAGAAAAACATTTTATGTGTAAAAACACATACATTGAAAATAAAGGAATGGAAAATGATATTTCATGCAAATGGAAATCAAAAAAGAGAAAGAGTGTATATGTATATAAGACATTAACACAAATTGTATACAAGATGACAAAGGTAGTCTTTATATAATGGTAAAGTGTAAGTTCATCAAGAGGATATAATAATTTTAAACACATATGTACCCAAGCCTGGAGCACCCACATATATAAAGGAATTATTATTAGAGCTAAGATAGGCACTAAAAAGGCAAAGAAAGATGACATTTTATCTGCACGTTAGATTAAATGGACCTAATAGGTATTTACAGAATGTTTCATTCAATGACTGCAGAATATACATTTATCTCCTCAGCATATGGATCACGCTCAAGAATAGATGATATGTGAGACCACATACCAAGTGTTAAAAATTCAAAAAAATTGAAAGTATAGCATGTATCTTCTCTGACTGCAATAGAATAAAACTAGAAGTAAATAAAAATTACAAAGTAATACATATGTGTACACTATACATATGTGTATACTATAAACTATAGTATACTGGAAACTATACATATGTGTATTCTATACATATGTATAGTTTCCATAGATGGATTTCCATAATTTCCATACATGCAAATTAAACAATATGCTCCTGAATTACCAGTGGGTCATGAAGAGATTAAGAAGAAAATTCCCCCCAAAATGAAACTAATAATAATTAAAACATAACATATAAAAACCTATGAGATATAGCAAAATCAGTACTAACAGAAAAGTTTAGAGGTATGATTGCCTACCTCAAAAAAAGTAGAAAAACTTCAAATAAACAACTTAATGATACAAAAAGAAAGATAGAAAAGCAAGAGCAAACAAAACCCAAAATAGTAGAAGCAAAGAAATAGTAAAGATCTGAGAATAAACAAAATTAAAACAAAGAAAATAATGAAAAAGATCAACAAAACAAAAAGTTGATGATATGGTTTGGCTCTGGGTCCCCACTCAAATCTCATCTCAAAATGTAATCCCCATGTGTCAAGGGAGGAACCCAGTGAGAGGTGATTGGATCATAGGGGTAGTTCCCGGCATGCTGTTCTTGTGATAGTGAGTGAGTTCTCATGAGATCGGTTGGTTTTATAAGGGGCTCTTCCCTCTTCACTTGTTCTCTCTTTTGCTGCCTTGTAAAGAAGGTGCTTGCTTCCCCTTCTGCCATGATTGTAAGTTTCCTGAAGCTTTCCCAGCCATATGGAACTGTGAGTCAATTAAACTACTTTCCTTTATAAATTACCCGGTCTCATGTAGTATCTTTATAGTAGTGTGAAAATAAACTAATACAGTAAATTGATACCATGAAGAGTAGGGCATAACTTTATATGGAACCACAAAAAATGCAGAATAGCCAAAGCTATTCTGAGCAAAAAGAACAAAACTAGAAAAAATCACATTACCTGACTTGGAATTATTCCACAAAGCTATAGTAATCAAACCATTACCGGACTGGTATAAAAACAGATACATAGCCTAATAGAAAATAATAGAGAACCCAGAAATAAATCCATTCATCTACAGTGAACTTATTTTTCACAAAGATGCCAAGACCATACATTGAAGAAAGGACAGTTTCTTCATTAAGTGGTGCTGGCAAAACTAGATAGAAAATATGCAGAAGAATGAAACTACACTTCTCTCTCTTGCCATATACAAAATCAAATCCAAATAGACAAACAACAAATCTAAGACCTCAAACTGTGAAACTACCAAAAGAAAACCCACTGGGGAAACTCTCCAAGAAATCTGACTGGGCCAAGATTTCTTTAGCAATTTATTGAGCACAAGTACAGGAAACCAAAACAAATACAGACGAATGGGATCGCATCAAGTTAAAAAGCTTCTCTACAATAAAGAAATCTTCAACAAAGTGAAGTGAAAACCCACAGGATGAGAGGAAATGTTTGCAAGCTATTCATCTGACAAATAATTAATAACCAGTATATATGAGAAGCTCAAACAACTCTGCAGAAAAAAAAAATAATAATCCAACTAAAAAATGGGCATATCTAAATGGACATTTCTCAGAAGATGTAGATATAGCAAACAGTTATATGAAAAGGTGCTCAAAATCAATGATCATCAGTAAAAGTAAATCAAAACTCTCCTCAGATATAGCCTTACCCCAGTTAAGATACTTTGTGTCTAAAAGATATTAACATGCTAGTGAGGACTGAGGAAAAGGGAACCCTCATACACTGTTGGTGGGAATGTAAATTAGTGCAATCACTATAGGGAAGAGTTTGGAGATTCCTCAAAAGACTAAAATTAGAGCCACCATATGATCAGGCAAGCCTGCTGCTAGCTACATATCTAAAATAAAGAAAATCAGTATATAGAAAAGATTATCTATCTGCACTCTCATGTTTATTGCAGCACTATTCACAATATACACAATGAAGTACCATTGAGCCCTAAAAAAATTTGAGATCCTGTCATTTGCAATAGCATAGATGGAACTGGAGGACATTAAGTGAAATAAACCAGTCAGAGAAAGACAAACCTTGCATGTTCTCACTTACTTATGAAAGCTAACAATTAAAACAATGAGACTAATGGAGATAGAGTGTAAAACATTGATTACCAGTGCCTTGGAATGGTAGTAGGGGGTGGTAAGAGGAGATGGTTAATGAGAACAAAAATATACTTACATAGAATGAATAAGATCTAGTATTTGATAGCACAGCAGGATTAGTACAGTCAACAATAATTTATAGAACATTTTAAAATAGCTAAAATATTATATTTGGATTCTTTTTAACAAAGAATGGATAAGTTCTTCAGGTGATGCATACCCCATTTCACCTGACATAATTATTACACATTGTATGCCTGTATCAAAATATCTCATGTACATCATAAATTTATACACCTTCTATGTACCTGCAAAAAATAAGAAATAAAAAAAAGATGACAGGAGTACAAATTGGTTTGTAAATAGAAAAAAAAGTTTACTCTTTTTATGTATAAAATACAGATATGCCTATTTACAGATATACATGTACATATATAATATTAAAGTTTTACATATGGTGATATGGAGGTTGATCTATATTTTCTCACTTCAGGGAGATCCCTGTACGTTCTTTACCTAGCTATGTATTATAGTATTAAAATTTTATACAGGAGCGATTAGGGAAAATAAATGACTAAAGTGACTCCACAGGGTGGTGATAATTTAAAAATAAGGTTGAGAAACCCTGACTTGGAGGAAAGTTATCATCAGGGTGATAGCAGTTGCACCTCCAGAATTTCTATACTGGGATTGTGTGTTCCAAAAGACAATATTGTTGGAAATGGAAGTGATTTGAGAAGTGGTTGCAGAGAAAAGTTAGAAGATTTTGCTTGAAGTTTATTGCATTTGCATAATTGTGGTAGCCAGAATTCTAAGACAGCCCCCAAGAGCCATGTATACATGGCTGGTGTACATTCGCTGTATAATGCAATATCCTTGAGTGTAGGTGGGATCTGATAATATGATGAATATTATTTTCATGATTAGATTACATGGCAAGAGTAAAGATGTTTTTCAGATGTAATTAAAGGGCCTAATCAGTTGACATTAAGTTAATCAAAAGAGGTATAATTCTTGGTGTGCCTCCCATAACTGGGTGAAGTCTTTTAAAAGAAGATGAAGCATAAGAGACATTACAATGGTGACCTTAAGGAAAGCAGACAACCATTTGTGAACTGCATATAGAGTGAGGTGACTTCATGAGCTGAGGACCTTGGTTTTATAACATCAGGAAATAAATTCTGCCAACATCCACATAAGTATGGAGGAGTACTTTGAGCCTCAGATGAGAACTGCAGCTCCAGCTGACACCTTGATTACAGTAGGATCAGAGAAGGGAACACAGCTAAACTATGCCTATACTTCTGACTTATAGAAACTGTGAGATAATAAATGGATGTTTTTAAGCTGGTATATTTGAAACAATCTGTTACACATATGTAATAAATTGCTACATGCTGAGCACAACACTTTTATTTAAATTTAAATAAAAATTTGTAATATTTGACACATTCAATGCCTGATCTGATCATTAAAGCCTACTGTGCTACCACTGACAAGAAAGTACTATAGAAAAATATATATGGTGAGAAGTAAAGGAATACAAATAATCATGGTTTATAATATGGCCCAGGATGAATATTCTTTTGATGGGGATTTCAAATGGATTTATTTAACTTTGAAAATTGATATAGTAAGTGAAATGTTAAAATATCTTTTAATATACATCAATTGATGTATCTTTTGACCTAATGTAGTTATTATTAAATACACTTATGAGTAGAGACAGTAGCATCTGTACAACAAACTTGATTAACCCAAGTTGACATAGTGCAAAAGTAATGGATCAAAGTCTAGAACCTAGGTCTTTTGAGAGATTAGACAGACATTCTCCTACAGTTTCCTTCTTCTAACCCATCTTAGTAATGATTTCTTATTCACTTAGAATCCAACCTTCATTTGATTTATGATACTGCTTACCATAAAATTACACTTTAGGGGAAATGAGGAAGAAAAACATATTTTAATGTAAAGGTAGATAAACATGCATGACTGGAATAAGTATATACAACTATGCTTAGTACTTTTATTCCACAATAAATGTTAATACTATTAAGATGACCCAAGCCATGACATACTTTATGTTTCAACTTAAAACTGACGTATCTTGCAGTAGTAGTTCCTTCTAAGGTAAAAAGATTGATTCTGTATTCAGTTTCAGATCTGAAACTAGATTATTAGTATTCTATGTTGGAAAGATTCTTCCTCTCTAAAAGTTATAAAGAAACAAGAAAATATTTGAACCATACTTTAATGTGGTCATAAGCCCCATATTCTATGTACTGAGGCAATTAATTTATTTGGCAATATTTAATATTATTTACCAAAATATTATAAATACTTATTTTTCTAAAAGATTATAAAAGATTTATATTTTCTAAAAGATTATTTTTCTAAAAGATTATACATGCTCAATTCTTAAATTTTGCATTATGCTTCATACAATTTATACTCACTTTTCATGTTTGATAAATGTTTCTGTTTCAGATGGGAAGTTAACCCTGAAATTTAAAAAGATCCGTACATAAGCTGAGTACATTGTGGTTTTTAAGGTATTTACAGCATACACATAGCAATACTGCTTTTTCTGCAGAAATCTCTTCTGTACAAATGTCTGTAGGATATTGAGCTACTACAGTAACTACTATGCCAATTTAAAAGATTTGTGAGTCATTCAAAATTAGGTGATTCTATATTAACAACTATGATAATTGCCTCTGTAAGGATATTCAAAGGTAAAAAGATTTTGTTTTAGATCATCTTCATAATGCATTATAGAATGTGAGACTACGGGACTACAGAATGTGAAAAATTATGAAAATCACTTATGTTCTAGACAAAGCCTTTTTTGAGAACTGAAATTTACATTTTGAAGCCCTTCCTAAAGTTCATAGATTAGAAATACAAGTTTAACCTCACAAACATTTGAGGCACTTCATTTTCCTTCTTAAATTTACCCCATTTGCTCTCTTCAAATATATATAAAGAAAAATATTGTATTTGTTTTCAATTGCTGACATGAAAAATTACCACAAATTTAGCGGCTTAAAACACACAAACTTACTCTCTTACTCTTCTGTAGATCAGTTGTCTAGTGCATATCTCATGGAGTTAGAATTAAGGTTTATCAGAAAGAGTTCCTTGCTTCTTACAGATTCTTGAGGCTACCAGCAATCCTTGGCTTCTGGCTATATGACTCAGATCTGTTTATTATCACAGTATCTTTTTTTCTCTCTGATATTCAACCTATTTCTTAAAAGGACCATGATGATTATATCAGGCCCACTCAGGTAATATTTCCATCTCAATATCATTAATTTCATCTTATCTGCAAAGTCCCTTTTACCATATAAGGTATCAGTCAAATGTTCTAAGGATTAGGAAATGGATATCTTTGGGAGGTATTTCTTCAGCCTATCGCAAGTACTGATGTTCAACTTCATAAGTTTGGGAGTCACTATTTGAAGACTGAAGAGTCCCCAACAAGGAAAAATTCTTAGAGGGATAATGCTTGGAAACTCAGCAAGTAGCTAGCTGCTTAGGTAAGCTGAAGGGGAAAATACAATGCTGTACAATTTTATGGACAATTTTCATGGCCATGAGTGGAGAGCTGTTGATCTTATTCAAAAGTTGTGTTTATTTTTAAATATTGGAATTTACAATTATTAGAAAGCTGTCATGACCCAAGACTCATTTTATTTGTTTGTTTATTCAAGTAGAACATTGGTAGCCATATGATGTCTGGTCAGGCAGTTTGGAAAACTGTTGACGTCGTTAGAATGTCATCATGGACCTTAGGAGAGCTAAACTGCTCAGCTACCTCTATTTGGTAATATCAAAGATTCTTTCCTCTGGGATATTGGAGGGTTTCAATTACCATAGAATTATAAAGTTCATGAGCAGTTCCTAGATTTTAGCTGTAGAACTAAATTCATAATAATTTAGTTTCTTTTTTATTATATAATGAATATGCTGAGATTAACTAAATGAAAAGCAACTATTAAAGCAAATTTTGAGCTATTAAGCATATGTTAGGGACGAATATATTTTGTACTGGACTTAAGCCAATATACTCTCTTATAACATTATTAAATAATGGCAACTATAAGGAACTTTTACCTTCGCTGATTTTTTAGAATCTGCCAAATATTTGCATTTATTAACTTATATAATCCTGAGTATAATCCTATATGGTAGCTGCTATTTTAATATGCATATTCACATACTTAGGAAAAAACCAGAAAGGCATTTGAACCCAGACAATGTAGCTTCAAAACTGATGTTCTTAACTACTAACACTATACTGTCCATATGAAATTTTACCAAACTTCAACAAAGTTAATTCCTAAAATTCCAGTGGGAGTTCTATTAACAAGTCAATGATGCTTTAGTGAAAAGAACTATAGTACAAAATGAATGAAGCAATAGAAACTAGCACAATTTGTTAAAAAAAATCTAAGATGTGGAAATAAAATGAGTTACTGCCACATAAAGCAAAAAGCTCCTTGGAGAATTTTCATATGCTTTCCATACTAAGGTATTGATAGCCACTTGGACGGGCGTAGCCCGCAGCTAGGTCTTTATTTTCTAGTTCTGCAAATGCTCTCTCACAGTGGTCCCCTATACATTTTATCACTCTACCCAGATCCATTTCTCAACATTCATTTTACAAATACTTTCTGAACCTTCTATGTAATAACAACAGTGTTATCACAGAGTCAGTGAGTCTATATGTATGTTTAACATACATTAAAACAATTTTTTTTTTGAGACGGAGTCTCGCTTTGTCATCCAGGCTGGAGTGCAGTGGCATGATCTCAGCTCACTGCAACCTCTGCCTCCCAGGTTCATGCTATTCTCCTGCCTCAGCCTCCTCAGTAGCTGGGACTACAGGCGCCCGCCACCACGCCCAGCTAATTTTTTGTATTTTTAGTAGAGACGGGGTTTCATCGTGTTAGCCAGGATGGTCTCCATCTCCTGACCTCGTGATCTGCCCGCCTCGGCCTCCCAAAGTGCTGGGATTACAGGCGTGAGCCACCGCGCCTGGCCTAAAACAATATATTTTTAAATTTACAACTGTAGTAAGAGGCACACACACCACAATGAAATATCATACTCGTAATCTAAGTGATGCAACAGTTGCAGAAATTATTTAGCTGGCAAGTGTAGTCATAAATACTTATAATTTGTATATTTATTATGCATACTTTATTAATTGCATTTATATTGCTTTAGGTATATCTTGAGATATGCTTGAATTTTGTAACAAATATAATTTGTCTCAAATATAAAGTCACTCTAGAAAGTTACCTCTGCTTTCAGATGTCTTCAGAAATTCACCAAAAATATGAGGAGCTTGTCATGAGTTTAAGAAAATATTAGCTAGTTAAGAATCTAACACGGCATTCCAAAAGGGTGTTCGGTCATTATTGCCATAACCCTTCTTTTTTTTCTCACTCACTATTTACTACCAGCCCTACCATTTCTCTCCTGGTCCCACTTCTCACCAGTTACTTATGTGAACATTCACACCCCATACATACTCTTTCATACTTTGATGGAAATATCAGAAGTGATTTGGTTATTGGGCATTTTTGTCTCTGCTATTAAAATGTCAATATATAAACTGTACACTATAACTGGAATTCCAGGCTATCTGATTTATTTTAAATGCTTCTGGTTCTCATCTAAGTTCTGTATCAACTTATCATTTCTGCTTTTGCTACTTAATGACCTAGACTTGTACTCAGAATTTATTTCTGCCTCTATCATTTAGCAGAGAAAATTCCAGTAAAACATGCTAAGTTCTAAGTTCTAAATGACAGGTGGAGTATGATTTCACAGGCCTCTTGCAATTTATGTGGGCAGTATGAACATTTTCTGGCTGAATTGCTGATTATTTTTATTGAGCAAGTGTATTTTCTTCTATGGTTAACTTTGTTGCTCGATTATTACTCAATTACTTATTTTATTGAGCAAGAGCATTTTCTTCTATAGTTGATTTTTGTTACTCAATTGTCCTCTAGCTGTAGTATCGGCATAAAAGTATAAATATCCTTGCTAGACGATGCCTGCTTACTCTTGTGGTAGTTTTACAGTTTAAGAGTTTATACTTTTGCTTATTAAAAATATGAGTTGCAATTTTAGTACATGTTATTATTACCAGGCTACTAAAGTTCTTAGGCAACATGCTTGTTTATTTCTTTTTATTCTTTCCTACTTTTGTAACAGTTCCCTCTGTCCCATAAAGTGTTAAAAGTGGGTTTTGCCATATTTATCATTATTACAGAAAATGAAAATACCATAGTAACTATAAAAAAACATAAAAGCCAGTCCATGGTGGCTAATATTATGGGTCCTTGTTATAAAAACCAAAATCAATTCAGCTGAATGAAAAAGCTGGAATTTACGCAAGCTCCCTCTGTGTGCTGTCTTCCATTTGAAACAGCTCAGTGCATCTTAGAAAGAATATAATAAAGGATTAAGAAAAAAATTAAGTGTTTTAAGATACCTTTTGTAAAAATAAACTTAATTTTCCTTTTTTTTAACTAAAGGCCTACTTTAGCTCACATATATCAAACAGCAGACCAAAGTGATTATTTCGATTTATTTTGACAACAATTCATTGTAATTATTTTGAAGTAAAGAACTGGACTTCATTTTTTTTTCTGCCTAGGAAGTAAGACACTGTCATTAAAAAAAATATATTGACTAAGAATTTACATTAGATTGACCATGTGAATTATCATAAGTTCATACTGCCAAACACTGCTTTCTTTATACAGAATGATTTCTCAGATGCTATGGAATTACTGAATTGAACTCTATTTTATACAAGAAAACAGATTTCTAAAACTGTGACTTATTCATTTTGTATAAAAACATGATATAATGTATCTGAAAAATAAAACACTTTATGGAATTCTAAATTAAAGAGACATTTTTATGTTAGACAGAATTCTGGCATCTCCTCAGTGTATTTGTATTCGTGAATATGTGTGTTATATGAATGAATAAATTTTGGAAAGGAACTATATTTTCTACCTAATCTTTTTCGAATAACTCAGTTATTTAAGTAATTGCAGTTTTTGTAATGAAGATTACTTTTGCACCAATCTAATATATTGCTCTTTGTTGGATCTGGGATTTAGTTTGATCCTACTTACTACTTAATATGTTAACCTGCGGCTGTTACATATGCTGGCAGAAGACAAGAGACTCCTGAGTTAGAGTTAAGAGATTTTATTGATTCCAGAACACAAAGCATCTATAGTCATCATGAACATATTTCTATCCATTCTCTTTGTCCCCAAGTCTCACAAGGGCCATGTGAAGCAGCCTGGGTGGATATTGCATTTACAATGGGTTTGCTTCACAGCTGAGGGAAAACACTGACCTAGGGGATCTACTCCTTTCATATCAAGCAGTAAGCAAACATACTCTTTGTCTGGTAATACATCATCTCCCAAGGTTACTGCACACACACCCTACAAAATGGCAGAGGTGAAAAGTGGTCAGGGCCTTGTATTCTTAGCATACTCAGCAAGAAATACAGAAAAACAAGAAGTCCAAAGAGGATTTTTAGTACTCACACACTGTCCCTCCTCACAAAAAATAAAAGATACAATTGATGTCTAACTTGTTTACATAGCTGTAGCATAATTTAGAATAAGTTTTATGGTACTGGTGATATATAAATACATATTTTTAAATGAAGTTGTCTATTTTAGTAATGATGGACTACTAGAACAAACTTAAACAGTCAAAATTTCTATTTTATTCATATTCTGGAAATATAAAATTCTATTAGTTTTAGCTATTTAACTATTAAAATGATATAATATGGATTCATGCAATTCAAAGTTTTTCAAATAACGGAAAATATTATCAATATAAAAATAGAGCTAATATATAATTATTTCTCTCTTAATTTCTTAAAAATAAAACTGTTCCTCGGGTGAATTTAAGGGGAAATAGGTAATAAATTATCATAGTAAAGATATTTGCTTATTTGAATACTAGGGTTTGGATGAAATTGTATGATGATGTATTTGATATATTATTTTACAAATAAAAATGCATTTGTTTTGTACATTTGAAAGAAGTTTTAAAATTGTATTCTGAGCGATAGGGTGTGTTTTGAAAATAAAATATGATTTTGTAAATTACATTATTTTCAATATCAGGTAAAATATGAGAAAGTAGTTTATAACTATATTAAAAAAGCTAAAGTTCAAATTATTTAAATGGTTTGTCTATTATTTAGGGCAGGACACTAGTTTGCAGAGAAAACAACTTTAAAATTGAATCTTTGGAGGACTCCACAGGATATTAATGTACACTATTTCTTCTTGATCCTTTGAAATTGAAAAGTATATAAAATCAGAATAATTGACAATTTATTGCTGGCCCAATACATACTATATAAAATGACATGCTAAAGCCTACAGTTTTCTTCCACATTAATGAATAATTGTGTCAATGGTAACTATCACTGTATGTGTTTATTAAGTTAAATTTATTCACTTTCGGGAGTAAAAAACTTTGATTTCCAATTATTAGTTGAAATATTACTTCGTGTTTTCTCTCCATAGTTCTCCTCTTTCATTAGTTCACTTACAAGAGATTACAGCTCGTTGCCTTGTGGATTTTAGCCAGTCATCCTAGAGTCGAGCCTCTATATCCTTTCTAAAAGCCTGAAAGTATGGAAGAAATTCTGTTCAGCAAGGATTCAGGAGATATTGAGGAGTGTTTGGAAACTGAAAGGAGTTCGGTTCCGAGGAAATCTGTGAAGGCAATAGCAGTTTTTGGTCCTTTCCCTATTTCTTAATGAGGTCTTTCCTGACCATTTCATTTAAATTACTTAAATTGTTTTCCTCCTCATCCTGATCTCTATTTTCCCATATCACTTACTAACTTCTAACATACTGTATAATCTACTTGTTTGCCCTCTTTATAATGTACAGTTTGCCTTCCTTCATTAAAAAGCAAGCTCTGTAAAGGCAAGACTTTTTTTTTTTTTTTTTTTTTTTCCACAGTTGCTCCTGTTTTGTTTAACTTCAAAAGTAAAAACAGTGTCTCATGCCTGTAATCCCAGCACTTTGGGAGGCTGAGGCGGGTGGATCACCTGAGATCAGGAGTTCCAGACCAGCCTGGCCAACATGGTGAAATCCCGCCACTACTGAAAAAAGAAGAAAAAATACAAAGATTTGCTGGGCATGGTGGTGGGAGCCTGTAATCCCAGTTACTCGTGAGGCTGAGGCAGGAGAATCACTTGAACCCTGACGGCAGAGGTTGCAGTGAGCCAAGATGGCGCCATTGCACTCTAGTCTGGGCAACAAGAGCAAAACTCTGTCTCAAAAAAAAAAAAAAAAAAAGTAAAAATTGATTTCAGTTTTTATAATGATGACTAGTAAAGTAAAATAAAGGGAATGGAAACATCAAAAAATTTGAAATATTCTGATTTGAAGGTGAAAAAGTGAAGGGAAGATAAATATAGCTCGTATACAAAATTTTAATTCAGTAAATTTTATAGAAGTATATGAACTGTATCCACTTATTTTTATGAATCAATAAATAACTTCAAGTGTTTAATTAATTGGACTAATGGATGACATAGATTCAGTGTATGAATATTTTAACCAGTGACATTTACACTGATTAACAAGATAATTAAAGAATGTTAGTAGTCACAGTCCATGAAATGATTAACAATACAGTACTTCACTTTTTTTACGTGAAAGGGAAGAGGGTAACAAGCTTACTTATTCAAAAGATCAAAAGAAAAGTCTATTATTCTCAGATATATTTTTAAAAATCCCTTTTGTAAGTAGTTTCTTCTTTTTCTATGACTATGTATGA
Source organism: Homo sapiens (assembly GCF_000001405.40). Lineage (NCBI taxonomy): Eukaryota > Metazoa > Chordata > Mammalia > Primates > Hominidae > Homo > Homo sapiens. The sequence continues at coordinate 166,107,596 of NC_000003.12, forward strand.
AGGAAATAAGAATTGAATTTCTTAAAAATTCAGTTGGTGCTAGACGAAGGTCTCCAAAACCTCCAAATGGCCAGTCAAAATTATTCTGTAGCCACAAGGAATTAACACATAAAAATGGAAGTGATTGCTTATTTGTTGAAGCCATTTTCCAGTAAGTTTTCTTTTTAAAGTACGTCATGAAGCTTAAATAAAGTGATGATAACCTGCTTCTCACTGTTCTACTTCAAATGGGTCTAAAGAGAATGACAAAAACCCTCAACCTGTCAGTATCTAAAAGTGTATCCTTACATCATCATTTTTCTTGTAGCCCAGTGACAGAGAGCAATATTCGAAATCTCATCTGTTTACTTTCCTTTCTATATTTTTATTTTGCTAATCTCAGACATTTTAGCTAGTGGAAAAGTACAAGATGATTGAAGCAGCTATGAATTTTGGTTTACTCATTCACTCCATGTAGTAACTAGGGCAAATTGCCAAACATTTCTGAGGACGAAATTCTTTCATTTATAAAAAGCATGACTATGGAATTAATTTATTTTTTTTAACACTAAAGAAATACATTAAAAGTTGCACTTATATATCCTACATAGTCAATAAAAGTTCATTCATGTTTCACTCCAATCCTCAATCCCAATAACTGACAATACTCTTCTGTTACTATTGATTATGTGGGAACCAAAGAAAAGCATCCTCTCTGCCCTCTCAAAGTTTCTTAAAAACAAACTGACAGTAGATAAAGAGGGGAAAACGCATACAGATTGATTTAATGTGCAAAAGAATGGGGTAACTGCATAAGGATGATTATCCAATAACCCAATGAGGTACGAAGCTTATATACCCTTCTTCATAAGGGAGGAGGGAGATGGGGAATGTAAGTAATTATTTTGAAAAATAGTGATTATTCTGAAGAAGAAATGGGCCCAGAGACAGAAATTAACTTTTGAATGATTCCCTTTGGAATTTGAATGAATCCAAGGGGCAGATATTATCTTGTGAAAATGTCTGCCCAGGGGTAGTTCCATTCCTTAGTCTTCTTTTTCTAAATATAGATAGATTGATAGACAGACAGACAGACAGACACACACACAGATAGATAGATAGATAGATAGATAGATAGATAGATAGATAGATAGATGATAGATAGTTAGATAGATAGATAAGATTTTAGGGAGTGTATGGAAGGCAATTGTATTCTGTTTGGCAGGCACTAGTCTTAAGGTAGATAACATAATAGAGTAGAGCCTTGCTCAGCATCAGATAACATTCAAGGATATTTAATTTAAAAATAGCATACCAGGGTGCCATATTTTGGGGAAAGTTTCCTAATATCCTTCACTTTGTTTTTTTCTACTGGATCCATAAACTTAATTAATGTAACTTAATTTTTTTATGATTTATTCTGCTCTAGGGGATGTTTTTGTTTAATATGTTTGAAGAAATATATTAAAACAAACAAACAAAAATGTCCATTCATGGAATGGAGATATTAGCAGATGCTTTGGAGATGGGGCAAAAGTACTTCAACTACTCACACATGTAGAAAACTATCTTGCTCTGCCTATAAGTAAGATAATCATATCTATTGTGTTTCCCCTTTTGTTTTAATTTGTTATACTTTATTCACTGAGATTCATAAATCTATTTTTTTTTTTTTTTTTGAGATGGAGTCTTGCTCTGTCACCCAGGCTGCAGTGCAGTGGCCCGATCTCGACTCACTGCAAACTCCGCCTCCCAAGTTCAAGCCATTCTTCTGCCTCAGCATCCGGAGTAGTTGGGACTACAGGCGTCCACCACCATGCCCGGCTTTTTTTTTTTTTTTTTTTTTTTTTGTATTTTTTTAGTAAAGATGGGGTTTTACCGTGTTAGCCAGGATGGTCTCAATCTCCTGACCTCGTGATCCACCCTCCTTGGCCTCCCAAAGTGCTGGGATTACAGGCATAGGCCACCGCACCTGCCCTCATAAATCATTATTAAAGGGATTTAGATTTAATGATGAGATAAGAGTATTTGGCAGAATGAAGCATTCGTTAAATAAATGTTAACTGAGCATCCACTTTATGCATGACATACTTCGAGAGACTAAAGGTACAATGATGAAAAAAGACAGACACATTTTCCTTAGGAAACGTCTCTAACATGGAAAAAATTGAAAGAATATTGGACATAGGTAACAATAGCTAGACCTACATTTTAGAATTACATCAATGTATCATTGTAAACTTCAGAACCCTGATTACTAAATGACAAGGTGGAAACAGATAACTTTTAGTTTATTTCAACCATAGGAAGGTATGTACAGGCTATTTATGCCACATACCAACAAAACTAGTTAGAAAAATTCAGCTAAAATTTCTAGCCAATTGCTGAAGACAGTATTTATTTGGATTAGTATGAGAGTGGAACATTTACTAGCTGCATACCAAAGGGGTGTCCATACACCTACTCAGGCTTTTCTCTAAAAATATCTCTAGGAGCACGCCAGAAAGATGAGCGTCAATGCCAGAGATGAGCAAAATCTACCCTTGTGGTTCAAGCCTCAGGGAGAACAACAGCAACGGCTGTGGAGATAGCATGAAGCCTCACACAGCCCCTTTTCCTCTACCTCCCATATGACAAAAAAGGCCTTAAGCCACAGTGGGAAGGGTGTCAAACCTCCTCACCCACAGAACACAGGTATAGACCTGTTGCAATCAGGAGAAAGCCTTAGATAATTAAGAACCATCTACTGATGGGAGGAGGGGCAAGAAGATGAATGAGCAAGTCTTATCCACAAGACAAAACATGCTGAGCAATAACAACAAAACAGCATGTCCAAGAAAAGGTTAGCACGACTTAAGAAAAATGAAACAAACGAAAACTGCAATTGACTGCTGGAGGAGGGGAGGGGAGAAAGCAGAGACAATTTTGTAATCATCGGTGTAAAGAGAATACTAAACTGAGCATGGAGAAAACGTTGAGGAAAACCCAATAGAAAATCTGCTGTAATCTAACTACCAGGTAACAGTAGAGAAATTTAAAGCCCGTTGTTCCCTAAGAGTAACTGCAGCAACAAAAAATCTGAAACCTAGATCAGGTTTCCTTGAATAAACATCCCACACTAGAAAAAAAAAATGAATGTCTATTTTCAGGAATAAAAAATATATACTATAATTTCTACTGTCAAACAAAAGAAATCTGACAGTCAGCCAATAATAATTAAACTGTGGAGGATCAAGCATTAAAACACACTCTGTCAAGAAATAGAGCAATCAAAAGAATCAGATTCAGAAATGATCCAGGTGTTGGAATTATTAAACCGGGGATTCAATATAGATATAATTTTTGTGTTAAATGTTACAGTGAAGATGAACAACATGCATAAAGAAATGACTACTATCAGCTGAGACTCGAGGATAATAAGAAGGACATGAATATGATATAAATGTAAACACAGTAAAAAGGATAAAAAATGCCTTTGAGTTGACTCTCAAATCAACACAATTGAGGAAACAGGGACACTGACGGATAGACCAATGGAAAGTACTCAACTGAAGCAAAATGAAATTAAAAGTGAGAAAAAAAACAAAGCCATGGAAAATGCATTTTAAATGGTGTAACTAAATTTGAAACTTGAGAAGAGAAAAAGAATAAATATGAAGATATAATGTTTGGGATTTATAAAAATTATTAAAAGCCATCCAAACAAAGATCCAACAAGCTCAGATAACATTAGAAAGGATAAAACAAATGAAGAAACAAACACCCTTAGCTCATAATATTCAAAGAGCTAAAAATTAATGAGAAGTTGAAAATCTTAAAGAATCAAGAGAAACAAATTCATTACATACAGAGGATCAAAATGAGAAGTACCAATTTATCATCAGAAACTGTATGATCCACAAGGCAAGACTGATATTCTTGAAGATATTCAACAGAAAAAAAATGATTAATGAAGAATCCCGTACTCATTTTCAAAAGTGAAGGGTAAGTCATGATTTTCTCAGAAATACAAAAGCTGTGAGAAGATAGCAGACTTCTTACAAGATATATTAAAACAACTGCTTCAGGCAAAAGGAATATGATACAGAAAAAAAACTTGGATTTATATGAAGAAACTAAGAGCTCTAAAACTGTCATCAATTAAGGTAAATGCGAAGTATTTTTTTAAAGATTTATTTATTTATTTATTTATTTATTTATTTATTTATTTATTTTAGAGACAGGGTCTTGCTATATTTGTTGCAAAGCCTACAGTGTAGTGACTATTTACAGGTGGGATCATGGTATGCTACAGCACTGAACTCTTAGTCCCAGGCTATTCTCCCGCTTCAGCCTCCCCAGTAACTGAAACTGCAGGTGTGTGCCACCAAGCCTGTCTTTATATTAAATTAAAAAAAAGATTAAAGGAGAAATAATAGCAATTAAGTTTGTGTTTATAACTTTGTAAAAGTAAAGTCATAACAAAAGTTGCACAAAAGATGGTGGGGCAATTGAGAATACACAATTTTCAGATCCTTAAACTAAATACAATGCCAGATACCAACAAAACCAGTTAGAAGAATTCAGCTAAAATTTCTTGCTTAACTAGAATACAAATTAGATCCTTAAACTAAATACAAAATGAGACAATATTTTAAATAAGATTGCCATTAGTTAAAAATATATATTATATATTTAATATTTTAAGAAGTATAAAAATCAACCAAAAATAAATATAAAATGGACTGAGGAAAAAATCTATTACTCCCAAAATGGCTGAAAAAGAGGGAAAAAAGAAACAAAAAAACAATTGGGATAAATAAAGAAATAACTACATAGATAGCAGATTCTAATACAATGTAACTGTAGTTACAGCCTAAGTATACCAAATAAAGAACACAGGGTATAAGAATATATCAAATAAGCAAAATCAAACAATTATGTATTTACAAAAATGAACTTTAAATAGAACAACATAGATAAGTTAAAAGTAAAAGGCTGCAGGTGAATAAAACATGCAAGCATGAATCAAGAGAAACTTGGAGTGGTTATATTAGTATTAGACAAAGGATATTTAGAAGTAATAATGCCAGAGATAAAGTAAGATATTACGTAGAGATAAAGGATACAATTCACAAAAAAATAACAAATTTAAATGTATACACACCTAACGAATGAGTTTTAAAATTAAGCATAAATTATATTAATCATAAATTATAATATTAAGCATAAATCATACAATTACATTAACAAATACACAAAAACACAATTACAGTTGTATGCTGCAATAACCCACTGGTTAAATAGGTAGTCACAGAAAAATTAGAGAATATTTGGATGCAGTGAAAATAAGAACACAATTTGTAAGGAACAGCTAAAGAGGTGCTCACATTGCAATTTATAGCAATGCAGGAAAAGAAGACAAGAAGAAAGTCTCAAATCAGTTATCTAATTTTATACATTAGCATAGTAAAAAACAAAACATAAATTAAACAAAAAGCAGGAGAATAAAAAAATAAAGATAAGAGCAGCAAGCAATAAAATGAAGAATGGAAAAATAATCATGAAAAAATGGAACCAAAAATTAGTTCTTTGAAAAGATCAATAAATGTAATAAAGCACTAGCCAGATTGACCAAGGTTTGTTGAGGGGAGAGGCAGTGGGAAGAGAGAAGATACAATATACAAGTATCAGAAATCAAATTTGGTACAAATATTTTGAAAGTTACTAAAAGATCACTACTCTACAAACAGTTTTATAGCAATGCACTACACACTTGACCACCTAGATAAAATGGTGGCATTGTTGAAAGACAAAAACTTCCAAAATACATCAAGAAAAAACAGAAAACATAAATACTTCATACATGTTTCAGACATTAAATAAAATTTGTAGTTAAAACATTTAAATAAGGACAATTTGAAACTACATTGTGTTTACTTACAAACACTACCAAACATTTAATGAAAAAGTTACACTGATCGTACACAAACTCTTCCATAATATATAAGTGACAAAACTTCCAAACTCATTTTATGGAACAAAGCAATTAATCTGACTTGACAACAAAGTAAAGACAATTCAAGAAACTACAATTACAAACCAATGTACCCCATGAGCGTAAATTCTCAAACATACAACATATACTAGATTTTGAATATAATCATGTGTCCAAAATAAAATGCAAATGGAAATTATTCATCCAAAATATAATGCAAATGGAAATTATCCTAGGAATATCATTATCTTAGGAATGGTTCAGCATTCAAATTCAATCAATGCAATTCACAACATCAACAAATTAAAGATGAAGACTCATTATCATCTCAACAGAAGAAGCAAAACATTTTATAAAATTCAATAGTTATTTATAATAACTACATTCAAAATACTAGGACAATAGGGGAACTTCCTTTACCAGATAAAGGTGTATACAAAATCCTATATTTAGCCATGCTGAAAGTCTAAATATTCACCCTCTACTATCAGAAACAATGAAGCATAGCCTTTCTCACCACTCTTATTCTACATTGTGCCAAAAGTCAAGCTACTACAAAATGAGAAAAAAAAAAGAAGTAAACTATAACTATTTGCAGACAATGTGATTGCTACACAGAGAATTCTAAATAACCAAAGATATTAGAACTCATAAATGACTTAGCAAGGTAAAAACGTACAAGGTCAATATCTGAAAGTTCATCACATTTCTAAATATCATCTGTGACCAATTGGAAATAAAATTTACCAAAAAGGAACATCTATAGTTGCATCAAAATTAATAATAGTAGGAGGGTGAGGATCTAAAATCTACCTATCAAATACTATGGTTATTACCTGGGTGGCAAAATAATCTGTACACCAAACCCCATAACACAATTTACCTACATAACAAACATGCACATATACCCTTGCATTTAAAAGAAAGTTGAAAAAAAAAAGTCTTTATATGTCCATTAAAAAAAATCACAGGAAAAAAAATGAAGCAGTTGCATTTTTCTACCTTCCAATATAGCTGCACTGTTTATACCTCATGTTAGTCTGTTCTGTGTTACTATAAAGGAATTCCTGAGACTGAGTACTTTATAAAGAAAAGAGGTTTATATGACTCATGGTCCTGCAGGTTTCTCAAGCATGGCACTTATACCTGCATGGCTTCTGATGAGGTCTCAGGAAGCTTTCACTCATGGCAGAAAGCAAAGGGACAGCAGGAATATTACATATTGAGAGACTCAAGCAATCTGCCAGGGTCTTTTATTTATTTTTTTAATTTTCAATTTTTAAATTGTATTATTTATTTATTTATTTTGACACAGGGTCTCACTCTGTTACCCAGACTTCTGTGTAGTGGCTTGATCTTGGCTCACTGAAACCTGTGCCACCGGGGCTGAAGGGATCCTCCCATCTCAGCCTCCCTAGTAGCTGGTACCACAGGTGTGTGCCACCATGCACAGCTACTTTTTGTTTTTTTAGTTAGAGATGGAGTTTCCCTGTGTTGCCCCTTGTCTTCAACTCCTGAGCTCAAGCAGTCCGCTCACCTCGGCCTCCCAAAGTGTTGGGATTACAGGCATGAGCCACCACACCTGGGTATAAATAACAATAATAATAATAAAATACATGCAGATTATGTAAACTAAGATTTTAAAACACTGATGAAAAAGTCGAAGATCTAAATAAATGAAGAGTGATACCAAATTCATGGTTTGAGAAACTCAAAATGTCAACTTTCTTCGAAAGACTTACAGATTCAATGCAATTTCAACCAAAATTCTAGCAGTCGTTTTATAGAAATTGAAAAGCTGACACTAAAATTTACATTGATAGACAAAGAAAACATAATAACAAAAGGTTATTGGAAAAGAGCAAAGTTATTTGACTCAGATGACTCAATTCAAAGATTTGTTCTAAAACTAGTTATGAAACTACGGCATTAAAGAAACGTAATTAAGAGTACAGCATTAAACTGACAAGTGTATGATTTTTCAACAAGTTGAAATTGATTTTCAACAAATATTCAAATGTAATTCAATGAAGAAAAGATAGTCTTTTCCACAAATTGTAATAAATCAGTTTAATATACAAAAGTAATATCATTTTGTACATGTCATCATTTACAAAAATTAACTGAATGTGTATTACCAACCTAAATGTAAAATATGATACTATAAAATTTTTAGAAAGCAAAAAAAAGAAGAAAACTGATTTTTTCCATGGGTGAGGCAAAAATTCCTCAGGTATAACCAAAAGCACATTCCATAAAATTAGAAAATGACAAATTGGAATTTATCAGATTTAAGGACTTCTGTTAGTTAAACGTACTATTAATACAAGTGAGAAAATGAGAAAAATAATTACAAATTAAAAATCTCATCCAGAACTTTTATCCTGAACATAAAAAAACATGACCGAAAGGTAATAGCAATCCCATTAAAAGATGGCAGAATTATTTCAACAGACACTATAGCATACAAGACTTATGAATTCAAATTAAAACCACTAGGAGTTACCACTAAAGACCTCATTAAAATAGTAATACAAAAAAACAGGATAAAAGTACTGACAATACCAAGTACTGCTTATTATAAAGAGTAATTATGTATCATAAAGGTAGAGCAACATTTTAAAACAGTTTGGAAGTTTCTTAAAGATAAACATTCATATACCATTTAGCAATTTTATTTTTAGCAAAGTATGCAAATGATATGACAACAAAAAAATAACTATGCAAGTGTTTGTAATGGCTTTATTTACAATTTACAAAACTATAAACTACTCAAATGTCTTTTAGTTGACAAATGGATAAGCAAATAATTGTATTTATATAATGGAATGAAAACGAATAAACTACTAATGAATGCAATAACATCGGTTAGTATCAAATGCCTTATGTTAAATGAAAGCAGCCATATTTGAAAGGCTACATATAGTATGATTTCATTTCTATAACATTCTAGAAAAGGTAATAAAATAAGGTCGCAAAACATCTGTAGTTACCAGGAGATGGAGTGTCTATAAAGATGCACAGGGATTTATTGGGAATGATAACAAAGTTTGATTTTGGTGGTCATGCTCACACCCTTCTCAATTTTATAGTTAGTATAATGAAATATAAATCACCAGCAGAATTTTTTATTTTGGTTTTGGTTTTTCTTTTTCATCCCTCTCTCTCTCTTTCTCTCTCTCACTATTGTTTTAGTTTTATAAGCACGTTAAAGCAAATTCATTTTTCAGTAAGGTAAAATAAATTTTTTTTACTTAGAAAATTTGGAAGTCAGTTTTTCATTTTTCACATTAAAATATATGTTTTAGTTTATAGTTTTGTGATAAGTATTTTATGTAAATAAAGTACTGTGCTTAGATCATACAGAATTAGTGGTAAATTTCCTTGAAATATTATAAGTGACAAAAGAAGAGCCAGTGGTAAATGACAGATAAAGGCATATAACATTTTTATAACAAATTTAGTAGATAATGTATAATCTATAATTATTTTATTCTTAGTGCACCACTAGATTCCTTAAAGTTATAATTTAGAAATCCAATATATTACTTCTTGGAGTTTATTATAGATACTTTCTGTTACCTAAGCTACCTCTAAAGGATTATTTAAATTCTCATAGTTAACAGTAGTTGAATAATGTCATGAAGAGTTATAGAGAATATGAATGGGATTGAAAGATTAAATATTACATAACTGTTTCAATGTTTTCATAGATATTCTTTTATAAAAAGCATAAATAATGAAAAAATAATAGACAAGTTGTCTTTTTGTAATACATTTGTGAATATAGTTCCATCACAGTTTGTATTTTATTTTTAGACTCATATAACACTTTTCTTTAATGTTTAAAACTAATGCAAAATTTTTGCCCTCCTTTATGGTTTAAATGTTTATAGATTTTTAATTTTTTTAACTTTTAATTTTTTGTGGATACATAGTAGGTGTATTTATGTGGTACATGAGATGTTTTAACACAGGCATGCAGATATATACACCATTTTATAGAATTTCCATACTGTTTTCTGAAACATTGTTTTAAAGTACAGATGTGTCTTGTTTTATTGTGCTTTGCTTTATTGCTTTTCACTGCTATTGCACTTTATATAAAATGGAGGTTTGTAATAACCTTGTGTCAACCAATTCTATTGGTGCTAGTTTTCCAACAGCGTGTGCTCACTTTGTGTCTCTGTCATGTTTTGGTGGTTTTTGCAATATTTCAAATGTTTAAGTTATTATTATATCTGTTATTATGATCTGTGATCAGTAATTTGTGACATTACTATTATAATTGTTTTGGGGCTGCAAGAACTGTGCTCATATAAGAGGGAAAACTTAATACAGATGTTGTATGTGCTCTGATTGCTCTACCAACAAGCATTTCTCAGCCTCTCATGCTCTTCTTGGGCCTCTGTATTCCCTGAGACACAACAATGTTAAAATTAGGCCAATTAATAAACCCACAATGCCCTCTAAGTGTCCAAGTGAAACAAGACTTGTATGTCTTTCACTTTAATTCAAAAGTTGGAAATATTAAGCTTAATGAGGAAGACATGTTGAAAGCTGAGATAGCCAAAAGGTAAGCCTGTTACACCAAACAATTAGCCAACTGTGAATACAAAGGAAAAGTTCTTGGAGGAAATTAAAAGTGCTACTCTGATGAACACCCAAATGAAAAGGAAGCAAAACACTGAAATTGCTGATATGGAGAAAATTTGAGTGTTCTGGATAAAAGATCAAACTAGCCATGACATTCCCTTCGGCCAAAGATGAATCCAGAGCAAGGTTCTAACTCTCATCACTTCTATGAAGGCAGAGAAAGGTGAGGAAGCTGCAGAAGAAACGTTTGGATCTAACAAAGGTTGGTTCATGAGGCTGAAGGAAAGCAGCTACCTACCTACGTTACATAAAAGTACAAGATGAAGCAGCAGGTACTGAAGGAGAAGCTGTAACAAGTTATGCAGAAGATCTAGCTAAGATAATGGACAAAGGCAGCTACTACACTAAAAAAATCTCAGATTTTCCATGTAGATTAAACTGCTTTATATTAGAAGATGCCATTTAGAACTTTCAGAACTCTAGAGATGAAATCAATGCCTGTTTCAAAGCATCAAAGTTCAGGGTGACTCTTTTTAGGGTCTAATGGACCTGGTGACTCTGACTTGAAGCCAAAGCTCATTTAGTATTTAAAAAATTCTAGCATGCTTAAGAATTATGCTAATTATTTTATTCATTTTGTATTTGGTATGGTGACCCAAGAGTATAAAAGTGTCTTTTCTGTCTGTACTCTATAAATGGAAGAACAAAGCCTGGATGACAGCACCTCTGTTTACAGCATTGTTTACCGAATATTTTAAGCCCACTATTGAGACCTACTACTCAGACAAAAATATTTCCCTCAAAATACTACCATTCATTGGAAATGCACCTGGTGACTGAAGAATATTGATGAAGATGTACAAGGTAATTAATTTGTTTTCATGCCTGATAACACAGCATCTCTTCTGTCCATGGATCAGGGAGTCTTGTTGACTTTTAAGTCTTATTTTTTAAGAAATACATTTTGTAAGGCTATAGCTGCCATAGATAGTAGTAATCCCACTGATGGATCTGAGTAAAGTAAATAGAAAACCTGGAAGGATTTATCGTTCTAGATGCCATTACAAAAACTGTGATTCCTGTCAGATAACATCAACATAACAAGAGTTTGAAAGAAATTAATATTAGCCCTCCTGGATGACTGAATGGTTCAAGAATTCAATGGAGGAAGTAATTGTAGGCATGGTAAAAATAGCAAGGAAACTCAAATTAGAAGTGGAGCCTGAAGATGTGACCGAATTGCTGCAATATCATGATCAAACAGATAAAGAGTGGTTTCTCATAGTTAAAGAAATATAACAAATAGAGCAGTTTCTTGAAATGGAATCTATTCCTTGTGAAGAGGCTGCATACCTTGTGGAAATGATTTAGAATATTACATAAACTTAGTTAATGAAGAAGTGCCAGGGTTTCAGAGGGTTGACTACAATTTAGAATGAGGTTCTGCTGTGAGTAAAATGCTATCAAAGAGCATTACATATTACAGAAAACCTTTTGTGAAAAAAAGTTACTCAATGGAGCAAACATCACTATTGTCTTATTTTAAGAAACTGCCACAGCCACCACAGCCTTCAGTAACCACTACCCTAATCAGTCAAAAAACCAGCCATCAACATTAAGGCAAGATGCCCCCACCAGAATAAATACTGTGTTTTACTGAAGGCCCAGATGATCATTAGCATTTTTTAGCAACAAAGTATTATTTAATTAAGGTATGCACTTTTATTAGACATAGTGCTACTGTATACTTAATGGATTACAGTACAGTATAAACGTAACTTTTATATGTACTGGGAAAACAAATAATTTTTGTAACTTGCTTTATAATCTTGGCTTTCTTTGGTGATCTGGAACTGAGGTGTGCCTGTAAATATGTGTTTGTCATGCAATCTCAACTTTTCTATATTACTTTATAAATGCAATGGGAGAGTGTTTTATGTGTACCGAAATGCTGTTGTGTTATTTGTGAATAGGTCAAATACCCTCATGTGAATTAGTCTGGACATCAGCTGTTACTGTTTACACATAAAATGCAAAGTGCAAAACAGAGATTAACTCAGCTTAGCAGAGCATTGATCACAAATGATGCAAAGGACAAAAAGAAAAAAAATGTGTATTTACAAGTCTTTATCTTCAACTCAATTATTTCACTTCAAATCTAAATCTGATATTTTTCACTGGTACTTTTACATTTAAATAAACCCAATTTTTGTTTAGTACAATACCAATTAACAATTATTTTTAAATGACTATTACAGTTTAATAGATAAGGAAACAATCAAATAACTTATTTGGAGTGATAAGGTGAGTCATTTGCCTAGCTGTATTAATTAAGCCTAGGTTTGAATAGGCATTCTACCAAATATTTTCATCTTCATTCTGTCACTAAATTTCCATCATTAGTCATTTCTAAGGGTTAAGATACAGAGATCGCCACTTAATATAATATTTGAGTTTAGATAGATATCTATTATACAATTATAAACATTATCATTTATTTATCAATAAGATAATTTAATTTTCTGTCCTCCCCAAAATCTGAAAACATGGAAAACTTTGAAAGAAGGATTTTGATAAAAGAGAAGATACTCTATTGCAATGGAGGTGAATTTACTTGAAAATGATATATTGAATAAACTTGTGAAACTGAAGAAAAATAGTTTACTAGAAATCAGAAGGAGCTCACTAACTCAGGCAAAAAATTTTCTGCATTTAATGAAAGTTCAGAAACTTTTATTTATTTAACATTTGGTATGGTGACCCAAGAATACAAAAGTATCATACACTATACATGTAATTGCAGCTATAAGCCATTAAAATTTCCATTTGGATGAAAAGGTAAATCTTTTTTTCTTCTATACAGATCATTAATCATATTGCAAAAATAATAATTTCTACTCAGGGGGAATACCATTCATTCTTTCTTTTGTATTCTCAATTTATTTTGCCATGTATTATTGGTCAGTGATGGTTTACTTAAAAAGCAAAGTACAAATTTTTTGTATAGTTATTAATTTTGACACAACAAATTCTAAAATACAGAAAGTTACTTTCCTTTAGAAATCAGATGATAGAGTAATTCAGGCACATAATTAATATACAAAATCTCTCGATTTGTTCAAATACCTAGCTATATACATATATATATATGTATATTTGTGGCTAATATTGTTAAAATGTGCTATTTTCTATCCATGGGTTTGATTTATCATATTTTATTTGTTTTGTTTTAGGACACATTTTCATTAATATTGACAACATTACACAGAAGACTTGATAGAAAGTGTTGCTATACATAAAAATTACTCAAACTGCCCAATAATGCGTGTACATAAGAAAAGCTTGCTTTTAATTTGTTATACCTTTAAATTATTTGTTAAATCACTTTATATATACAGTCACTTATAAAAGTTTAAAAGAAGTCCAGATGAGCCTTCTTTTAAACTTACCACTCCAGGGAAGTTATTTGATATTCCCTTATCTATGAACTTATAATATTCATTTAAAATAATTATGAGTTGGTATTGTACTAAATAAAAATTGGATTAATTTAAAGATAAAAGTGGGATTGAATTTCTTTGAGACACTCTAGCTGATTTTTTCTAATTATGTAGTTAGTGATATCATGGATAACATAAACCAATCTTAGATTCAAATTGAATTGATTTAATATTTTTGTGCACTATTATTTTATACATCAATTGAAGTCTAATAAAAATGATAAATTCGGAAATACTCAAGTTTTTCTTAATGATTTCCTACATAACAATAAATATTGTAATAAGCAATAATAGAGTTGGGTCAGAAGAAACGTAGATATCTAATTGTGCCTTTAAAAAAGACTATTTTAATCAATACAAATTAATCTAAATCTTAATGATTTCTTATTTCATGTTGTTCCGGAAATGCTATGAAAAGCATTTTATCTTGATAGGTATATCAAGAAAAATTTTGCTGAGCATTATTTTTTATGTACTTAATTTTTAGTACATGAGATGATCTGAACAACTGAAATACAATAAAAAAACACAGAGTGAATATTATGACTTACCAAGCATTACGGTAATATTGTAGTATATGTGTGTATATGTAAATGTGTATGTACATATATGTATATATGTATGTGGTGAATGGGGGTAGGGTTAAGGTAGAACATACAGGAGACTTTCAAATGACTGACAATCTATTGTATAAAAGCAGTTGACAGGTTGCTATGGGGGAGCATCTAGAATTCCTTCATTCTAGAAGTCATCAATTTTGATTGAAAGATCAAAATTTAATGGAGAAATGACCTTTGAATTGAAACTTGCAGAATTTTGTTAGGCAGAAAAAACATGTTAGAAGGATATTTTAGGCTTAGGAAACAGTGGAAAAATCCAAGGTATATGGGGAACAATATGTTTTTATTCAAGTAGAAAATTCTCAAGAAAATTATAATGAATTCACAGTGGTTATAAAAAACCATTGCATAAAGCTCTGACTCAAATACAGGCAATTCCAGTTTAGCTTTCAAAAAATAAGCCAAAACATGAAAAATAAAAAAACTAATAAATAGATCAAATAAAGCGACATGAAAATGAAATTCTAAAAAAGTACATAAAACCTTTTTTAAGAGTGAAAAGTAAAATACTCATAAAGAATACAATAATTCTATTATCTGAATTAAATTATCACAACAGTCAACAAATATATTCCCTTGAGAAGATCACATTTCCAGGAAAGAATTATGTTAAAACTTGAGGTGGCTGTCTATTCTTTATTTGGAAGATATCTTCAATGAAAATTATTATTTTTCCCCATACTACGTAAGAAAAGAGTACAATCAGAGAGAATGTTATTCATAATTTTTAAACTGAAGCAATTTCAGTTTAAACTGAAAGAATATAAACAGGTGGATGTAGAAGTGATAAAGGAAGGAATTTTTTCCCCAAATAAGTAGAGAGAGCAAATATGTAAGACAGGAAAGTAGGGAGGGAATCAGTCAGCCAGTTTGACTTGGCCAAAAGAATAATGCAAAAAAAGCAGTAGTTGTCAAAGTCTCAAAAGTGTATTTTTGGCATAATAACACCAGGATAAGATGCTTGATTGAGCAGAAAGTAAGCATTCTCTGGAATGTTTTCCTCTTTCACAATGCATGCATTATTTACTTGTAATTCTGGTTCCTCCTCAAAAAGCTTTACAGAGTTATATAATATTGCAGTAATAAAGTAGACATATGTGAGCACAGATAAGTAAAAAAAAATGATTAACTAAAAAGTATTTTTAATGACAAAAATGTGTGATCATTAAGAGAATGCTAACACAATAGCAAAGCATTATTTTCCCTTCTGTATGGTTTATCATGTAATATACTATATCACAATGTACTCTTTCCCTTCATAATGTATTATGGAAGTTTGTGTCAGAATATATGGAACTAACTCATTTTATGTTTCTAAAGGTTTACTTAGCTATAATGTGCATATAGAAACATGAACATATAGATGCACAGCTAGATGAATGTCCACAAAGCAAGCTCTGGAACCATGATCAAGAAACAGAAAGTTAGCAATGCTTCAGGAAGTTAGCAATGCTTCAGGAATCTCACTTGCCCAAGCTTCTTTATAGTCTGAGCCCTACAGGCAAAACCCCTTCTTTTGAAATTTATATTATTATGCATTAGGCTTCTTTTGTTCAATTTTATGTTTGTGTAATTCATTACCATTATCATGTATCACTGTAGACATTCTCATTACAGTTTAGTACTCTTTTGTGTGATTGTGGCATAATTTATTTATAAGATCTACTTTTAATGGCTATTTGGGTAGTTTCCTGTTTGGTAATAACACTATGCTACTATGAACACATTTGTGTATGTCAATATATGCATATCATATATACACACGTAAGTATGTATACATATGTATACACATATAGATACAGACATACACACACACACATTTATATTTCTTTCTTCCTTTTTTTCTTTTTTGTGGCAAGATCTCACTCTGTCACCCAAGCTGGAGTCCAGTGGCTGTGATCTTGGTTCACTGCAACCTCAAACTCTTGGTCTAAAGCCATCCTCCCAACTCAGCCTCCTGAGTAGACGGGACTACAGGCACACACCACAACCCCTGACTAATTTTTGTATTTTTTGTAGAAATGGGGTTTCGCAGTGTTTGCCAGGCTGGTCTCTAACTCCTGGCCTCAAGCGGTCTGCCAGCCTCGGCCTCCCAAAGTGCTAGGCCTACAGGCATAAGTCACCTCACCGGTCAACACACATTTACATTTCTGTTGGAGTAGACGTATGAGGACTTGGGATATTCATTTGTTCAGCTGTAGTAGATAATGTCAAACTGTTTTTCGAAATGTTTATACAACTTAATCATTGAACTAGCAGTGCATAAAAATACTAGTTGTTACATCCCTTTTCTGACACTTTTGTTTCTTCTGTATCATTGATTGTCATTTTTGTTGGAGTGTCATAATATCATATTGTGGATTTATTTTGCATTTACTGGTGATAAATAAGGTTAAGTACTATTTCCTGTGTTTATTGCCATTTGGTTATTCTTGTTTTTAAAAAGTGTTTGGACATCTCTTGACCATTTAATAAATTACATAATTTATCTGTTTCTTATTGATTTGTAAGACTTCTTCATACATTTGCATATGGGACTTATATTGAATGTGTGCATTACAAATATCTTCTACTCAGAATTTTCCCTTTTCACTTTAAGGTGATTGTGTATATATTAATATGCATGTGGACCTGTATGTGTTTTATAGATGTTATTTTTTAGAACAGTTTTAGGTTTATTGAAAAATTGAGAAGCCAGTACAGAGATTTAACATATACTCTGCACTCAGTTTCCCCAATCGTTAATATATTACATTGGTGTGTACATTATTATAATTATGAACCAATATTGACAGTTATTAGCAACTACAGCCCATAGTTTATATAGATTACATTAGAATGTCTTGTGTCTGTTCCACTATTTTATCCAGGATACCATATTACATTTCATCTCCTTTGGCTCCTCTTTACTTTTGACTATGACTGTTTCTCAGACATAACCAGAGCAAGAGGTGAGGTGATCCCATGAAGACTGAGTGGTAGTGAATGTCCTTACACTCCACTATGTCTTTTCTGAATCCCCAAGGAAGAGAGGGCACAGCACCACCTTACTGCTGGGTGTTGTGTAAGACCAGGCTCCCCAGTGGTCTCCAGTGATAATGCAGAGGGAAAAGAGAGATCTTGTTATCACCTAGTGGAGGTGAAGGTCCTAACTTCCTCTGATTTTTTGATACCACCCTAGAGAGGATTTGGGGAAGCCTAGTTACAGCCTGGAGGTAGAGAAAGTCTGGAATCGTCAATTGGCCTTTACTGGCATGGAGAGAGGTGGAGCTACAGTGGCACCGTGTGTGTGTGTGTGTGTGTGTGTGTTTGGATAAATAGTGTTTATTGCCTAAAAAGTTTATTTCTTGGTAAGTTCTCTTTTTCCTGGCATGAAAAGCTACTGAGACCATGCTTTATTTGGATCTTAGTTAATCTGTGCCTGTTTCCCTGTTTGAAATATAAGAAGGCAAAGGAAAGCCCTCGGGAATCACCACCTTGTTGCTCTTTGGGTCCTGAGCTCATTAGCCGGTCTCTCGTTTTCTCTTTACCTTTCAGAGTTTTGTTATGTTTGCTTTATGTGTAATGCACGAAGTTAATAATTGTGCTTAATGGAAGGAATAGGAAAAAGTATGCCTACCTCATCTCCAAGAAGCGAAGCCCAATATGCTCATCTACTTTTAAATTAGCAATTGTTTCAAGGATTTTATTACTAGTATTCTCTGTTTCTCCTTTATCTTATTTTTAAGGATCTGTTTGCTAAATGGATGAAAATGACTTGTCATTTTCAAGAAAATTCAACAATTTATATCACATCCTTACTCTGGAGATTAAAGGCTTTGAAGAATGATTTTAGCAAATATATGTTGCTATTTATCCATCTGTAGAAGCTTAATAAATCCAAGAAAAGAATTCCCACAGACTTATGTCAGCTGAGATGCTATGGGAGTTTTTATTAATTTTGTCTTCTCTAAAGCACTTTGACCAACCAAAATATTTGCTTCTGAAGATTTCTTGCATTTATTAATGTGATCTCACTTCTCTTCAAATGAAGCATTTCCCTAGTTTTATATAAAATAGTTATCTCATTTAAAAATATATTTTATATTTACTAATATACAAATTCAAGAAAAATGTATTTTCAGTGTTACAATTCAGAGAACTATTGACAAAAGCATTTTATTTCCGTAGTAGGAAATTTTTACAAAAAGAAGAATTTGTATCATTTTTATCTATTAAATATTTTTTGACATTATCTTCAACTAATTTCCAGATATTGCTTAGTAATATCTTGCACATAATAGATACACAAAGATATGTTGATTTTTACTTCTGTTCATTAATAATTTCAGACATAGTTTAATAACATACCTTTGCTTTGCCATTAAATAGCTGTATTTTTCAGAATATTTTATGTATTAGTCCGGTCTTGCATTGCTATAAAGAAATACCTGAGAATGAGTAATTTAAAAATAGAAGAGGTTCCGACGTGATAACTCATGCCTGTAATCCTAGCACTTTGGGAGGCCGCGGTGGGCGGATCATTTGCAGTTGAAGATCAGCCGGGCCAACATGATAAAACCCCATCTCTACTAAAAAAAAAAAAAAAAAAAAAAAAAAAGCCTGACCTGGTGGTGCACACCTGTAATCCCAGCTACTAGATATGAGGCAGTGAGGTGCGATCGCGCCACTGCACTCAGCCTGGGTGACAGATCAAGACTGCACCACAAAGAAAAAAAAAAAAGAGTTTTCATTGGTGCATGGTTCTGCAGAGTATACAGAAAGCACGGGGCTTCTGCTTCTGGGGAGGCCTCAGGAAGCTTCCAATCATGGTGGAAGACAAAGCGAGAGCAAGACGTCTCACATGGCACTAGTAGGAGCGAGAGAGAGAGGGGAGAGATGCCACACACTTTTAAACTACCAGATTTCACGGAAACTCACTCAGGATCGCGAGTACAGTGTCAAGAGAGATGTTGCTAAATCATTCATGAGAAATTTGCCCCCAAGATCCAACCACCTTCCACCAGCCCAACCTCCAACATTAGGGATTACAATTCGACATGAGATTTGGTGGGGATACAGATCCAAACCATATTGATTTGTATGTTTATTTATTTGCAGTGTATTTATTTTGAAAACAATTTTAATAATATTTTAAACATACGCTATATGATAATGCCGTATGTGAGCCTTCAGCAACTGACTGAGTGTATAACTATTTTGTTATCAAATGGAGTCCCATGTTGATGAACAACTTTCTACAAATGCTATAGTTGTTTTCTTAAATATCAAAATATATCCTATGCATTTATATGTATATAAGTTTTATGTAATTTAACTATTATTAAAATAAGAAGGGGTAATGTAAAAATTCCTTTTATTTAGGCAGTCTTTTGGACTTTTCTAAGAACGGTAGCAGGTGTTGTAGATAATGGCAGGTTCTGTACGGATACAGCTGGGCATGTTAAATGTTTTTTTTTTAGAATTATAGTAGGATTAAGGAATTTTAATTTTCTCAGGTTCGACACAGTAGGCATGTTATACTTTTATAAACCAAAATATAAACACGTTTATTTTAGTAATTATGTCAGTCACATCATTAAACTTTCTATTGTCTTTCCTGCTAAATGTCTGTTGATGTCCTCCAGCAAAAGACAACTACTATTCTGTGTGACCTACAGTATTTATACACGTGCAATGAGAAGTGTTTGCTATAGAATTATTTCCTTCTTGGGTAGATAAACAAAATAAAAGGCTATGCATTTATCCATGACAATTTTGGCTAATAAATTCAAGTTTAAATTGGTTCATTTGGGTTCCAGAGCGGAAAGTGTGTCCTAATAAGAAGGACATAGTAGCTATTGGGAATATAATATTACTTATCTTATCAGAAGTGAATTAGTTATTGATCCCTTATCAGAAGTGAATTAGTTATTGATCCCTTAAGAATATTCAAAGGTCATATTCTTTGAATGGAGACAGTCTCTGCAAAGCAGACTGGAATGTCTCTAAATAACAGAGGCTAACTCTTGAACCAAAGATAAACCCAACATCACTTCCCATTCTGGGTGAGCTAAATTTTTCTGGTAGAGTTGTAATTCTTCCACACAAATATTTTGTTGATATGGGTGAAAATTCAATATGTAACAAGACTGAATTTTAGCATCAATTTTGTGATTAAAAACTTAAGTAAGAGAACTTTAAAGGATTTTTATCTTCTAAAATATTTAATGAACTGGGTGCAGTGGCTCACACCTGTAATCCCAGCACTTTGGGAGGCTGAGGCGGATACATCACTTGAGGTCAGGAGCTCGAGACCAGCCTGAACAACATGGTAAAACTCCATCTCGACTAAAAATACAAAATTAGCCAGGTATGGTGTGGATGCCTGTAATCCAAGCTACTTCGGAGGCTGAGGACAGAGAATCAATTGAAACCAAGAGGCAGAGGTTGCAGTGAGTGGTGAAATTCTGTCTCAAAAATAAAAATAAAAATAAAATAAAATAAGTTAAAATAAAATAAATGTTTTATGAAATGGCTTTTAGATATTTTTCCAGGAGTGTTAGGTAAAAGATGAGAGACCCATCAATTGGTTAAATTGAGGGCAATGGGAAAAGATCTTAGTGTTTAAAAGTAACAAGATTATGGTAAGAATGAACATACTGAGAAAATGCTTTGTTAATCAAAAGATCATGTCAAAATACAATGATAGGCAAGATTACTGATCAAACAAAAAGAAGAAAGAGAGTACTGATGAATCAGATAATTAATGTTGTTTTCTCATCTTGCTCAGAATCTGTCTGCTTTTGCAATCTTTAGCTTGCTTTGATATCTATGGTGAAAGTCTACTTCTACAGTGTTTTCCTGGTGAATTTCTAAAAATCCTAAGTTTGACATTTCTGTATAGACTTAGTCAGTAATCAGGAAAATCTTACATTTGAATTTTTAGTTGGAAATCATAAGTCAAAGGATAAGCATTGTGTGGTTTTGTGTCAGTTATTAACAATAATGGTTAGGGTTTTTTTCATTGTATTCAAGAACATACTTTCTTGATACCTTCTCCAGAAGACCAAATTTTCCTGTTTCAAATCATGCGGGAGCCTTTCAGGTGATAATTTTGAATATGCAATTTGAATGTGTTTGTAGTAAAGCTGAAGATTTTATATGGGTCTCTGGCAGTATTTAGTCACATTAGTCAGTAATAGAGTAAAATCTCAAAACTTCCAAATGCTCGGAACAGACTGTTACTAACTCAGGAGATGACACGGGGGGCCTAGGCACATTATCTTAGCACCATCAAGGATATAGGCAATAATTTGGGGCATGTAAGGGTTAGGCTTATAAGATCCTTGATATTTATAATGGTAGGATTCCATTATTTACCTTTACAGTTCCTGAGCTTTGTGGTGATAAGGACAGTGGACTTTCTAGTTATTTTATTTTTAATTTTTAAAATTTTTTAATTTTCATGGGCACATGGTACATGTATATATATACATATATATGTATATGTATGTATGTGTGTGTATATATGTGTGTGTGTGTGTGTATATATATTTTTTTTTTCCTG